>NC_000007.14:95537082-95840112 GCF_000001405.40 Homo sapiens
CAAAGTCTGTCTGTAACACATGGAGAGGTATCAGGCACAGGGTGCAAAGTTCACTGGGCTTGGAGGTCTGTGGCTTAGGTGTAATCTTATTCTGCTACTTATTGGCTGTGTTACTTTTAAAAGTCACCTAACTTGAGTGAGCTGCATTAATCCTTCACTTCCATTAAATATCTGAATATATGCATCACACCAAGCACATAATGTGTTTAAAATTGCTATTTTGGTTTAGATTCATCCAGGCACTTCACACTTGCATATTTTATCTTATCTCCTGGGTTCTGAATTGTAGAATGTTATTTCCCCTCCCCTTTCCTTGTATACCACCGCCTCACTGCTCCCATTTCAATATTGCGTTTAATTTTTGCCTCACCAATAGAGACCCTAGGAAGCTGCCATTACGTATAGAGGTTAGTTGCAGCATTGCTGATTTTTATTGATGTAAACTGTGGGGCCTTGCTAACTTTAATTTGTCTTGCCTTCCTTTTCAGAAATACTGGGATTTTTACCACTCTCTCTTTACTGTGTGCTGTAACTCTCCAAGGACTCTCATGCACTTATCGAGATGTGCCATTAGAAGAACATTACACAACAGATGCCATAGAGCAATTCCTTTGCTTTCCCTCCCATTGTCATTGAAAAAGTACTTGCTTTTAGAGCCAGAGGGAATTATTTATTAAGCCTTATGAGACAGCAGTTCCCAATCCTAGGTATTTAAGTGGACTTGCTGGGTAGACACAGTTTGCCTAAATAAAATGGTACTTGGGTTGATTATAACACTTCAGGGATTTCAAAACACTTTACAAACACTGCCATTAATCCTAGAATATCATGGTATGGGGAAATAAAGAAGAAGTAAAGTTAAGGAATTTTCAAAGACAAGGATGTATTCAGAATGTACTGATAGAACAGTAATAACTAATATGTATAGTGTTCTTACTAAGTACCTGAAATATTTTTGTAAAACTTCTTATATCTTATCTCATCTGAAATGGGACCCAGGTTTTCTTCCAACCAATATAATTCTGTGCCTTATCAGTAATATGTTTACATTCTCATTCAAATGGCCATATAGCAGGCTTTGCAATTGGCCTCTTAAACTTGGTGTTTTCCCCCATTACCCCTTAGCAGTAATTACTGTCACTAGTTTTGCAAACTCCTACTCCCCAAACCAAGCTACTCAAGTTTATTTCAGTGATGAAGGCATATGAGCATAGTCAAAACAAGGAGATCTTGGAGTCAAATTAGAAATGAGAAAGAAACATCAGTCCAGTTAATAGTCAAGAATGGACATTTGAACCAGACATCACTGAGCCAGAGACTGGAGATGCAAAGATGAGTCCCATGTGACTCCTGCCTTCCAGGATCTCACCATTTAGCAGAGGATCCAGACATACACACAGCTAACTGCAATATAAAGTGATGGGGCAAGAGTACAGGTGCAGACTCACTTTTAATGCTTATCTTTCAAAGTTGTGTTTCTGACATGAAGTGTGATTTTTCTTTTAAGCATGAAGTTAAAGAGTGAAGGGGTTATGTAAAGTAGAGGGATCTCCTGCTCTTGTTAGGGTATTTTTAAGGTTTTTTCTAGATAGTGTGTCTTTTTGGTATGGTTTCTTGGTTAGTATTAATACTTTCCCAGACTCCTTGAGAAAAATATTGCACACTCAATGGCTCCAGTGCATGTGACAAGGAAGCATAGGAAAATGGGGGAAAGAAAGTGTGTGAGGGGACCTAGTTGATTACTTCGGTCTTTTTATGTAGCAGACTGACATTTCATAGCATTGTAGCTAAGAGATAAGGAGCACTTTGCTAGTGACAGTGGGCTACGAAAAGTAAATAGAGAGACTTTTTGAAAATGGTAAAAGTTTGAGAAACTTGGGAAGATTAGTGTGTTAATCAGGCTTGCTAGTTAGTGGATTGCAGAAAGAAAAATGTAGGTGATTAAGCTCTGGGCCTTGTGGTTTATGAGGTCAATTTTGCTTCACTTTTTTTTTTGTTCTTGCTATAATCACTTTTAGATAAGCTCATTGCTCTTAGCATCATTTTTTAGAGGTTAAAGCAGAAGTAAATTGCAAACAAATCTGTCAGTTGTGAGCAGATTTCTTTTATGTGTGTGGTTCTCCATCATATTTAACTTTGGATGCTGGAGTGTTGAATAGAGATGATGTCAGATATTCCAATAGGCTATCATTTAATGTTAACTGGCAATCACCTAACTGGTTAATCTCAGTTGAGACTGTGCTTCTGAACTGGGATTGTCTTACTCCCAGGGCTGTGTAAGAAAAGTCATAGGTGGATACAATAATCTCTTTTAAGTATCAGTTTTACTCAGATATTTTGGTGGAGATATTTTGTACTAAAACAAGATCTATATCATGGAATAGAATGCTGAATTTGTATGAATTATTCACATAAAGCTTGATCTTTCAAAAAATAGTTTGCTTGCAGCAAGTGGTATTAGAACACATCCTAAAACAGAATGAAATGATGTCTTTTGCAGCAACTTGGATGGAGCTGGAGGCCATTATTCTAAGTGAAGTAACTCAGGAATGGAAAGTGAAATACCATATGTTCTCACTTATAAGTGGGAGCTAAGCAATGAGGATGCAAAGACATCCAGAGTGATATAATGGACTATGGGGACTTGCAAGGGGAAGCTTGAGAGTGGGGTGAGGGATAAAAGACTACATATTGGGTACAGTGTACACTGCTCCAGTGATGGGTGCACTAAAATCTCAAAATTCACCACTAAAGAATGTATCCATGTAACCAAAAACCACCTGTACCCCCAAAACTATTGAAATCTTAAAATAGTAATAATTAACAAAGTAAAACAAGATCACACCCTGGAACAATTGGAGGATTGCTTGCTGCCCTGCATCTTAAGGCGTATTCTAGCAGCAAAGCTTGTGATGCACTGACTTGGGGCAAGTAAAACTGATGCTGAGGACAAAGGGAGAAGATGTTCCTCGCCCAGGGAAATGAAAACTTTTCTTATTCACCTTGCTTGTGCTTAAACACTTATGTTCATCTAGTGTAGAATACATGGCTACTTGTTTGTAATTTTTTTATTGGTGGAATTAAAGTAATTTTTCCTTATCTTTGAACTTTTATTTAGAGAACTTAAATAAAGCTCTTCTGTCTCCTTTCATCTTTGTGTTTACTTACCAATAAGACTCTTTTTCCTAACCCCGCTTTGACTTTTCAGCAATGACACTGAAGAACTCTACACATTTCATTGCTTTTATCAACAGTTAAAAAGAAAAAGAGAATCAGGGATTGTGCCTGTAAATAAATAATGTTTTCAAAAGAAAGTAAAGGGTAACTGTGGCCAAAACACAAATACAATGCAGCCTCTTGCTGTAAGAACAAGTGTGTTTTAATAGTAGTAAAGAAATTGTACTGAATCATTCTCCTCTGCCTCTCACCATCTCTGTCCTCCTGGGGTTTTTCATTTTCCTTCATTCTCACTGTCCACTAAACCCTGGGCAAAGCAACAGAGGAAATTACATCCTCATGACGCCTTTGTTACTTTCTTAGAAAACTTTCTGTAAATAGGATCTACTGTCTTGAAGAAAAAAACAATCTCTCTTCTGAAACTTACATGAGAGGAAGAATCTTAGATATGAGGGAAAGATCACCTATCTTGTTTTCTCTCCTTCTTAGGAACTAGACACACTTGTGTTCTATTTTTTAATCATCGAGTGTTATGTCTCTACTTTGTCCTTCCATTCTAAACCCAGTGGGTTCTGATAAAAACACAGTAGTCGAACGATGATTGTAGGGATAAGAAAAGTAACAAACCATTTGCAGTGGGTTATCAATGTTGGAAAAGACAGCTGAGTCTTACGTTTTTATTACTCATCTGATTGTTTGTGAAGAACTTACAAAGTTCTAAGTTGGTACACTTTCCAAACTTTTACAAATGAATTCAACTATTCACCCATTTTCTTTGAAACACAAACACCACAGCTAGTATCTGGAAGGAATTCCTGTTACTTTCTTTAGGAGGATAAAGTAGATGCATTACAGTTAGGTGTTTGGAGGTTTGGCTCTGATGCTCTCTGTCTGGGTCCCCTCTTTATCTGACTCATAATATAGGGAAAATGACACACCTGCTCCAGGCCTCAGTTTTTTCATTTGTAAAATGAGAATAGTCACGGTGCCTACTTCATAGGACTTTTATAGGATTGTTTTGAGGGTTAAGTTATTAACAGATTAAAACATGTAGAGCAGACCATGACACTCAGTAGCATTTTATTGGTATTAATGTCCTTGCTTTTGTCATAATCATTATATTGTAGAGATAGGCTCCCACCAGTGGAGTAGTATATCCTTAGAGTGAATCTGTAGCTGCAGGTGATACATTGTAGATTTCTATTCACTTTGGGAACTGTTGGGTGAGCTTGTACTGTGTCAGGACTTTGATGACAGCTGGGAATCCACGGGGGAACAAGACAAACCAGGTCCCTGACCTTCCTGGGCTTTTTTGAGATAGGGAGTAGGGATAGAAATTCTCCACTGAGTGGGGGATTAGTAAACATGCCAACCAATTAATTTTTGCATCTTTGTATTTTTGTAAGTAGTAAAATAGACGCAATGATCTATTTTACTATGGAAAAATTTAGTCACTTGAAAATGTATCATATACGGAGCTGATTTCGCAGCTGTTTCCATCTTCAGTGGGGGAAAGAGAAGGAGGAGATGAATTTTGTAGCAGGACATAGATTAGCAATGAGATCCCTAGCAGGGAGGGTCATTGGGTATCAGAATGAATGAGCAGAGGGTAGAATAATTTCATTCATTTATTTTTTGACATGCAAGAATTTATTCTCTTAGCTGGGTATGGTGGCACATGCCTGTAGTCCCAGCTCCTCCGGAGGCTGAGGCAGGAAAATCACTTGAGCCCACGAGTTCAAGTTTACAGTGACCTATGATCACACCACTGTATTCCAACCTGGGCAACAGAGTGAGACCTTGACTGTAAAAAAACAAAAAAAACAAAAAAAAAACCCAAAAACTTTATTCGGTATTACTACCTGTGTAGTTCTCTGATAAATGTGGGAAGAAGAAGAGGAGTGTTGTTATCAAGTCACTTTAAGATTCATTTTTAGTAGCTCAAGGTTTTGGTTTATTTGTTTTTATTTAGAAATAAGGATAAAAACTACACAGTTTTTTAAAAAAATTAGATGCTGTCTAACTGAGCCATTTGGTTCATCAGAAAGGATTTTCAAAACCTACATTTCAGTGATAAGTTGCTTTGTTCATGTTTGATCATATCTGCCATCAATGAAAAACAATGTATGCAAAAACATCCCCCAAAAGTGGTTTTTTTTTTTGTTGTTGTTTGTTTGTTTCTTTGTTTTGAGACAGAGTCTTGCTCTGTTACCCAAGCTGGAGTGCCATGGCACGATCTCGGCTCATTGCAATCTCCACCTCCCAGGTTCAAGCGATTTTCCTGCCTCAGCCTCCCAAGTAGCTGGGACTACAGGTGCCTGCCACCATGCCTGGCTAATTTTTGTATTTTTAGTAGAGGCAGGGTTTCACCATGTTGGCCAGGATGGTCTCGAACTCCTGACCTCAAATGATCCACCCACCTTGGCCTCCCAAAGTGCTGGGATTACAGGTGTGAGCCACCGCGCCTGGCCAGCAGTTGTTGTTAAAAAAGCGACACTAAGTCGTTTAAGTGAACTTAAATTTCTTCTTTACTAATTGGTTTTCTGTTTTCTCAGAAAGAGCTATGTCTCAATGATATTGGATAACCACTCTGCAAATATATGCTGAATCCAGTTATGGAAATAAAATAGCCACCTTGTATTTCTTAAAGACAGCCTGGATTAGTTTTCAGTGCTCACTAAGCAGAGAAAAATGGACAAAACAGCTATCATGCTGGGGTGTGTAAGGCAGCCTCAGATGTAGAAGGTAGGTACTGAGGTCCTTCTCAAGATCCAGGAGCCAAGACACACCTGCTGAGAGGTACAAAGGCAAACATTCACTCCTTGTCCTGTTCCAGATGTGGTGGAAGCTGAAAGTCAGTATTTGACTGACAAGTGGTGGGAACCAATATAGATTACGAATAATTTGATTCAGGAAGCAAGACATACAAAATGAGCTGCCCATTCTCTAAACAAGGATCCTCTCTCTACCCTGCTCTGGGTCTTGGCAGAATGACTTTCACAGACTGTATCAACTGACTCCCTGTCGCCTGGCTTCCTAGAGGGTTCAGTCCATGGGAAGATCGGCAGAAGATTGGGGCCCTTCCTGGCTCCCTACCTACACTTCCACAGATAGCCCTTAATTAGTTTCTTTTCAGTCACCCCTATTGAGTGTGTCCTCCATTTCCTCTAGGGATCTGACTGATGCACACACAAAAAACACTGTGACAAGTCCGTGACAGCCTGGGCGGTGGTCGGGATGGTAAGTGCTATTGGAGTCGAGGGCAGATAGAAGCCACTATGGACCACGGAAGGCAGGTGGACTTGATCTGTGACCTGAAGAGGGGTGGGGTTTAGGTAATAGTTTGGGTAACAGTAAGGCCCTGGGGTTTGGGAGGGAATTTAAAAGTGAGTATCCCTGACAAAGGGTGAGAGCTGGAGTATACACTGAGTATTCACCACTGTCAGTTAGAGTAACTTGATGCACGTAGATGAACATTTGTTGTGTGTGGGGAGCAGAGGATGAGGTTGGAAGAGCTGAGTGGGATGAAATTATGAAATGTCTCAAAGAGTGGGGAAGCACCATGGGGAATCAATGAATATTATTATCATTATAATTATACTTTTTCCAACCTTATAATTTTTATAGCAGTAACAATTATGATACAACCATGTAACATTTACAGGGTATTCATCATTTTTAGAGCACCGTCATGATGTTTAATACCAGGTAATTGCCTTTATCATTACTCTTTTCTTCCATGCCACCCCCAAATACAATTCTGATCCTTTAGATCTGAAAAAATATGTAAAAATGATACTAATTAACCCTCCCTTCTCATGTAAAACACTCCAATCATATGGAATAATTTACTCTGGAGCAACAAAGGGGATGATAGCCTTACTTTTTCTTTTTATCAAAAGCTAAAGATTTTAAAAATTGCATTAAAAAAAGAAAGAAATGTTTCTTCCAGGGCATCAGAAAATGACAGAACAGAGCAAAATTTGGAGGTCTAGGACTGCTTATACTTCTCAACATGGCAGTGTTCAAGTGCTAAATTATTCACTGAAGCACTGACGTCATTACAGTCTTTCAGGGATCCCAGGACTCCAAATACTGCTGAAGTCAGATGGACAACAAAAGGTCTCTTAGGATGATCCATCAAGGAAAACACAGGCATCAGCAAATTGTTCCTAAGCAACATCTGGTTAATTCTATGACAAAAATACAAAGAAGCTGAAAACTGTTTACTCCAACTAGCACTGCAGTGTGGCACAAAGAAAAATATATGGACTTTGGAATTCAATGGCTTGAGTTTTAATCTTGATTGTTCCATTTAATATCTTTGTGAACTTGGGTCAGTTTCTTAATTCAAGTGTCAATTTCTTTATTTAGGTAATGGTGATTAACTACTTGACATTCCAGACTCTTTGGGGGAATTTATTTATTTTTATTTATTTTATTTTATTTTTTTGAGATGGGGTCTCACTCTGTTGCTTAGGCTGGAGTGCAGTGGCACAATCTCGGCTCACTGCAACCTCCGCTTCCCAGGTTCAAGGGATTCTGTCATGTCAGCCTCCCAAGTAGCTGGGATTACAGGTGCATGCCATCACGCCCAGCTAATTTTTCTATTTTTTGATAGACAGGGGGTTTCACTATGCTGACCAGGCTGGTCTCAAACTCCTGTGATCCACCTGTCTCGGCCTTCCAAAGTGCTGGGATTACAGGCATGAGCCACTGTGCCCAGCCAGATATGACAGGGTTTCTAAGACATTTATGTGCACAGGCCAAAGATCCAGCTTTTTTTTTTTTCTTTTTATTGCATTTTAACTGCAACGATTTTCCCGTGGTACAGACTCACTCTCTGAAACAAACTGTCCCAAGCTGTTTTGTTAAGGGTTCATTGCTCCTGGCAGTTTGGCCTAAAGGAGGCACTGTAGGAGAATTTTCTCCCTGCTGTGAATCACAGCTATGGAATTACACACAGCTTTCATTTCTAAAGGCCGTCTTGAAGAAAATTAAACCAGAAAGATCAAGAAAGGTAAATAGGTATTCTATGGCACCTTTCTTTAATCTCCTGGTTACAGTTTCAAAGAATTTTGCTCTTGCCTTCATTGGAAAGAGATCTGGGTATCAGGAAATGATTTTAGAACCATAGGTTTCTGTCCTGTGGTTACATAATCTGGAAGGAAAAAAACAACATTGCAGTTAGTTTCTCTCTGTGTAGCACTGAAATAGACAATTTCATTAGTAATTCCATTCATTCAATTTCCCTTCTTTCTTTCTTCCTCCCTGTTTTTCTTTCTGTCTCTTTCATATTCTCTCCATTTCTCTCTTCCCTTATTGTTTCTTGTTCTCATTCCTGGGTGTGGTTTTGTTTTTGTTTTTGTTTTGCTTCTTCGTGGCTAGGATCTCAGTGTGAGCATGTACTTATGTAGAGTAAATGTTGATATATTCTTAGGGTCTGTCAACAACTGGCAAGAATAGCATTTGTTGTCTTTCTAGCAATAGATTGCAGGTGAGAGATCAGGACCAAGCTAGGATTAAAAACTACCAAAGAGACAGGAGAAAAGCCTCCAAAATGAGATATGCATGTTTCTGCCCATCCCAGGCAATGCCAGAGAAGCCTAATCATGCCATCTGAGTCACAGGTGTCCCATGCACTTTTGCACATAGTCAGACATCTCCACCGGTATGGTCACAGAGTTGCTCCCTTCTGGAAAATCATAAAAGAATTAGTTATTGAGATAATATAGCTGAATAGGTAGCCATACAGAGTAATGCATAGAATCAGACATGCCAGAGTTGGAACTCCTCCCTGTCACTTAATATTTTCTGAGGCCCAGTTCCCACCTTTGTAACTAGGAGCAATAATTGTTTAGTACAATGTCAGGCACCTGGTTAACTTTTAATAAATTGCAATTATTATTATAGTCCCACCCTGCTTGAATTCTAGATTTCTGTAAGTGACTGACTTGTAGACCCTGCACATTCCACAAATGGTTAGACACACACATATCTAACAAAAATATGTGAGCATATGAATAGATATTCAGTGATATTCCAGTTGCAGCCCACTGAAGGAAATCTGCCCATTTGTAGACATGGGCCGCATCTAAATAAATTAATATGGGCCCTCTTTCAATGTGTAGATATTTGATTTAGTTTCCAATGATTCTTAAATATTTTTTTTTCTGCGTTGGAGCAAGGTTGACTCATTGAACATATGCTGTGTCTGTATCTTATTTTGATATTATGTGGTGCTTGAATTTGAGCTCTTCAGGGATGGCAAAAGTGGGGTGTGTTATTTTTTACACCTACGGCAGACAATAATAACCAACCAAAATATTCTCTCCTTTTGAGCCCAGACTCAGCCGCAGAGTTCTTCTCAGTACAGTGTAAGGACTGTTACTTCCAATTGCTTAGAGTTGATAGGCAAGGTGAAATACATTTGTCATCCTTGGATTTCATTCTCAATCCTCTCACAGGCTCTTGGTCTCGAATTGTATAAATAAAAAGCTGGATGGAGTTAGAAGGCAGGGCTGCCGGCACAGGATTTCACTTTTGGTTTTCTTTGGTCAGGAGAAGCATAGAATTTTGCCATTTATTCAACAAATATTTATTGAGCTGGACTCTGTACCTGCTGTGGATTCAAAGGTGAATAATGGCAAAGTCTTGGCCTTCATTGGGAAACTGATGAGTCTGCACATTCAGATACCTGGGGTGCTTTCAAAAATACCACTCCAATTTCCCACGTCCCCTTTTAAAAGCTTTAATAGGCGAATTAGGTTAAGTACCTCACTTATACTATGTTGTAAATGCCTGTCTGCCAGTCTCTACCACCAGGCTGTAACCTCCTTAAAAGAAGGAACTGTAATCTCTTCAGTTTTTTAAAAGATTAAGGTAAAATTTACCAATAGTGAAATACACAACTTTAAAATGGATAATTGTATGAATGATTACAAGTGTATATACCCTTATAATCAACACTTTAGTCAAGGTAAACAATACATTTATTACCCCAGAATATCTTCATGTATTCTTTTGTCTCTTTCTAGTAAATTCCTATCTCCCACAGGCAACCACTGTACTGTTTCTATCACCATGGGTTAGGTTTACTTGGTTTTGAACTTCACAAAAACAGAATTATACAGCATATATTCTTATGTGTTTGGCTTCATTCTCGTAACATAATATTTTGGAGATTCATCCATATTTTGCATATATTAGTAGTTTATACTTCTTTATTGCTTAATCGTGTTCCATCCTGTGAATATACCAAAATAAATATTTATGCATTCTCCTAGCGATGAAGATTTGGGTTATTTCCAGCTTAGGGTAATAATAGATGTGAGGGTTAGTTTTGTGTGTTAACTTGGCTAGGCTATGTGTATCCAGATATTTGGTTAAACATCAGTTTAGATGTTGCTGTGGAAATATTTTTTAGAAGTAATAAACATTTAAGTTAATAGGTTTTGAGTAAAGCAGATCACTCTCCATAATATGGGGTTTGTTCTCATCCCATCGGTTGAATGCCTTACAAGAAAAAGACTGAGGTCCCCTGAGAAAGTGGGAATTCTGCCTCCAGATTGTCTTCAGATTCATGACTGAAACATTAACTCTTCCCTGGGTCTCCAGCCTGCTGGCTTCCCCTGCAGATTTCAAACTTGTTAGTCCCTATAATCATCTGAGCCAATCTCTTAACATATTTTTTATCTCTCTTTCTATGTATATATAACCTACGGGTTCTGTTTCTTTGGAGAGTCTTGACTAATACAATGGATGAATATGCTGTAAACACTCTTGTTCAAATCTTTTTTGTGGGCATGTTTCCATTTCCCTTGGGCAAATATCTAGAAGTGAAATTCAAGGTCAGCCACTTTAATTTTACAAGAAAGTACCAAACTGTTTTCCAAAGTGATGTACATGTTTGCATTTCTACCAGCAATATGAGAGTTCCGGTTGCTGTCATTCTTGTCAATAGTTGGTGATGTAAGTCTTTTTAATTTTAGCCATTCTGATAGGTAAATAGTGATAAGTCTCTGTACTTTTCATTTGTATTTCTCTGAGGGCTAATGATGTTAAACAGCTTTTCACTTGCTTATTTGCTATTTGTGTATCTTCTTTGGTGAACTGTCTGTTGGAATAGTTTGTCATTTGTTCCCTTTGTATCTCAACTCCTAGCATTTAATAGTCACTCAGTGTATACTGTTTTAAGAATGAATGAATGTTATATTGTCCATCAGTGATTATTCCAAAATGATTACTAAACTTTTGTGTTATTATTTGTAATGCTTATAAAGTACTCAGCAATGGTACCTAACACATAGTCAACACCCCACAGTTGGTAGCTATTAGTGCCATCCCTATTTTGACTATGAGGAAATGAGGACTAGAAAAGTTATGTTAATCAAGGTCTAGTTACTAATTATCAAAATTGCTGCTGAAATCTGGACTTCTCAAATCTGTATTTCATGTTTTGAGTTTTTTGTTACCAGTAGCTTGACTAAGTATTAGATTAAGCATTAACTGTGTTGCTTCATTCATTTTTTAACTCTTATTTATAGCAAACCTGACATGGAAAATATAATGATGCTAATTCCTTTACATGCTTTAATTTATTTAATTCTTACTATAACCCTATGAGGAAAATACTATTATTTTTATTTTATGGACGATTAAACTGTAGTATAGACAGATTATGCAATTGCCTAGGATCTCACAGGTAATTAAAGGTAGAGGCAGGATTCAAACTCAATCACTTGCATACCAATGCCTGTGTGTTTTGCTTTGTTTTAAAACCATTATGCTATCCTGTTTCTTATGACAAAATTAATTTTGGACATGTTGATTTTGAGGGGCTTATGGGATAGCAGGATGGGGATGTCCAGTAAATCCCTGACACTTAGGAGAGAGTTACGGGAGGATGGGGATATAGAAAGAGAGTGCACTTGATAACTACAGTGCTAGACCATATTAAGAAAGTGGTTAAAGTGCCTGAAATATTGGAAGATGGAGGAATTTCACTAGATTCCATTCCAGAAAGTTCCATAGGAGACTCCATTTTTTTTTTTTTGAGATGGAGTCTCGCCCTGTCGCCCAGGCTGCAGTGCAGTGGTGCGATCTCCACTCACTGCAAGCTCCGCCTCCCGGGTTCACCCCATTCTCCTGCCTCAGCCTCCCTAGTAGCTGGGACTACAGGTGCCCGCCATCACGCCCGGCTAATTTTTTTGTATTTTTAGTAGAGACAGGGTTTCACCGTGTTCGCCAGGATGGTCTCGATCTCCTGACTTCGTGATCCGCCCGCCTTGGGCTCCCAAAGTGCTGGGATTATAGGCGTGAGCCACCGCGCCCGGCCGAGACTCCATTTTTAAAATGGATTTACGTTGTTCACAAGAACAGGTCTGTAATGATGAAATCTTACAGTCTGTTTTTAAGATACTCTAAAATATTTTGGTTGCTGTTTGTTATTAGACTCTGACAGGTGGACCTAGGTTGCCTGCCCAGAGGGTCTAGGAGCTCACAATTTCTCTAAAGACCCCTTTTCTGTTTACTGGAAACCCTAGGAGCTTCCTTAGGGGCTTGTCAGGCCAAGCTGACTAATCCTTCCTTCTGCTCAAATTTCACTCTTCTGAAAAGGGAGTTTGACGAGCAGGGAGTGAGTCACTAGCTCCAAGATGGCAGCAAGGAGCACTGGTGTTAATCTGTGTTATCTTAGTTCCCACAGGGTGAGTAATCATGCCTGGCCAAATCTCACTGGGCAAAACAGGTGCAAGTTTCCAAAGGAAGGCTTTGTGACCATAATAGGAGGTTAGCTGAAATCCAACCTGTATTTACTCCTTGCAACAGAATACTTTATGAACCATGGTTTACAGGAACATCCAGGTTCCCTAAAAATTTATCTCTTCCATGATGATGGAAACACAGCAACGTACACAGACTGGACCTGGGGACTATCTTAGCTTCTGAAGACTTGCACAGCAGGTCTAAAAGTCCAAGGCTGCCTCCTGACACTCCAGAGAGGAACTATGTGACACAGAGAGACTAAGCCAGGCCCTGCCCACAGGGTTGCACACACAAACATGTTTTCCAAGCCCTTTATACACTCAGCAGGGAACACGCCGTTCTCTCTGGGAGGTTGCCAGAAACTTATAAGAGAGTCTGATCAGTGCCAAGAATAGACAAGCAAGGCTTCTCTCCTGTCTCGGAAGGGGACACTGTGTGGTGCTGAGTTATTACCGCCCCTCTGTGCTCCTCTAGCCTTCAAAAGCAAACCTGAAACTGTTTCCCTGCACTTCTTAATCTCTTGATCAGTCGAAAAATTATTGCTGGAGCTCGCTATACCTCTTTGGGCACCTGTAATCTTGTTGTCCAAACCCAAATGCAAATATGTTCCCTCTGCTTGCATTTGTTTTGCATCTCAGAGACTCAGGCCGTGGATCTTTGAGGTAGAACCCAAGGAAAATAGTCAACAACTTTGTCCATTTGCCCAGGAAGAGTCTGAGTTGTTGCTGTTCCTCATTAGTCCTCTGCTTTAGCTTCAGCAAGGACGGCAAAGGTTACTTGAAATTCAGCCAGTGCAGGCAATGTTGAGAAAAAACTTGACTCTTCTCTTCCATGTACAGGATGTCTTTCCAACCCCTTCCCCAAAGTTTTCTTAAATCCTTGGTGTCTTCAACTTGGCCCCAGCTCTAAAATTAAATATTTACCATGTTTTTTCCTCTATAATAATACTGGGAAGAATCAACCATGCGTTTTTAAATAAAAGTCTCGCTTTTGTCACGCAGGCTGGAGTGCAATGGTGTGATCTTGGCTCACTGCAACCTCCAACTACCAGGTTCAAGCAATTCTCCTGCCTCAGCCTCCCGAATAGCTGGGACTACAAGCGCATGCCACCATGCCAGGCTCATTTTTGAATTTTTAGTAGACACACGGTTTTGCCTTATTGGCCAGGCTGGTCTCAAACTCCTCACCTCGGGACATCCACTCGGCTTGGCCTCCCTAAATGCTGGGATTACAAGCATGAGCCACTGCGCCTGACCAGTTTTTAAATAAAGCACTTTAAATGAGTTATTCACATATCCCTTGTATTTATATAGGGTACAGCTTTTTGTTTTAAAGCTGTTTGAATAGTTCTCCAAGTTTCTGAGACTCAACTGCTTTTTTGGCTTATGAAATTGCCATTAATCAAGATGCATTCATAAGGTATCAATTCCCTGAAATGTAGGTATTTAGTCCATTCTATCTATCCATGCATCTATCCATCTGTCCAATACTTTTTGTTTAAAGTCCCTAGAATAACCAACCAGCCTTTATATGACTGAATTTGAGAACCTACGGCAATTAACATGATAAATGTCACACAGATCCTTATTGTTTATTAAGCAACTGAAAATAGAAAAGCTCAGGGGAAAATAATACTTGTGAATGTCAGGGATTTTGCCATGGAGAGATTTCACCAACCATATGCAACCACAAAATATAGAATGTAAAACCCAGGCACAATAAGCTCATTCTAGGCTTAGTGTGTCCAGAATTGGTGGGTTCTTGGTCTCACTGACTTCAACAATGAAGCCGCGGACCCTCGCGGTGAGTGTTAACAGTTCTTAAAGGCGGCGTGTCCGGAGTTTGTTCGCTCTGATGTCCGGATGTGTTCGGAGTTTCTTCCTTCTGGTGGGTTCGTGGTCTCACTGGCTCAGGAGTGAAGCTGTGGACCTTCGTGGTGAGTGTTACAGCTCTTAAGGTGGCTCGTCTGGAGTTTCTTCCTCCCGGTGGGCTCGTGGTTTCGTTGGCTTCAGGAGTGAAGCTGCAGACCTTCGCGGTGAGTGTTACAGCTCATAAACGCAGTGTGGACCCAAAGAGTGAGCAGCAGCAAGATTTATTGCAAGGAGCAAAAGAACAAAGCTTCCACAGTCTGGAAGGGGATGACCGGGTTGCCACTGCTTGCTCGCGCAGCCTGCTTTTATTCTCTTATCTGGCCCCACCCCATCCTGCTGATTGGTAGAGCCAAGTGGTCTGTTTTGACAGGGCGCTGATTGGTGCGTTTACAATCCCTGAGCTAGACACAACGGTTCTCCACGTCCCCACTAGATTAGCTAGATAAACAGTGTCCACACAAAGGTTCTGCAAGTCCCCACCAGAGTCAGGTACCCAGCTGGCTTCACCCAGTGGATCCCACACCGGGGCTGCAGGTGGAGCTGCCTGCCAGTCCTGCATCGTGTGCCCGCTCTCCTCAGCCCTTGGGTGGTCGATGGGACTGGGCGCGGTGGAGCAGGGGACGGCGCTTGTCGGGGAGGCTCCTGCCACACAGGAGCCCATGGAAGGGAGAGGCTCAGGCATGGCGGGCTGCCGGTCCTGAGCCCTGCCCCGCCGGGAGGCAGCTAAGGCCCAGCGAGAAATCCAGCACAGTGCTGGTGGGCCGGCACTGCTGGGGGACCCAGTACACCCTCCGCAGCCGCTGGCCTGGGTGCTAAGCCCCTCATTGTCCCGGGGGGCAGGGTTGGCCGGCCGGCCGCTCCGAGTGTGGGGCCCGCCAAGCCCACACCCACCCGGAACTCCAGCTGGCCCGCAAATGCAGCGCGCAGCCCCGGTTCCCGCTCCCGCCTCTCCCTCCACACCTCCCTGCAAGCTGAGGGAGCCCGCTCCCGCCTTGGCCAGCCCAGAAAAGGGCTCCCACAGTGCAGCGGTGGGCTGAAGGGCTCCTCAAGTGCTGCCAAAGTGGGAGCCCAGGCAGAGGAGGCCCCGAGAGTGAGCGAGGGCTGTGAGGGCTGCCAGCACGCTGTCACCTTTCATTAGGACCTGCTAATTGGTTTCACATGTGTGTGGAACCATCCCAGGACTGGATTCCAATATGAGGAGAGAAATGGGTTATTTCACTGAAAGGTATGACTGAGTTAGACTGAAGAAACTCTTATATGACACTGTACTATGGCTTTAATGAGCATTAGTGTTAGGATGACATTTTGTTTAGAGAGATATTGATGGTAAAAAAGAAAAGGATTTGAACTCCAGTTCACCATTTCCTAAGCATGACCTTGAGCTATTCATTCACTCTATGTAGTCATTTAATAAATATTTATTGAGCCCTATATAGGCCAAGCACTCTGTGAGGTGATGGAAATTCTCCTGCCCTCAAAAAGTAACAGTAATTATTATTTGCAATCTACCTCCCTAAGGCATAACAATGCCTATCTTTCAGAGTTATGTGTAATAGGATTTGTAAGTGGATTTTTTTTTGTCTCATAATTGTCTACTTGGCTCCAAAGTTAGAGACAAATAGGTGAAAATTAGGAGACAAATAGATGATTGGTAAACACCAGTCATTAAGAGGCAAATTCATTCTGCTACTCCGCTTACCACTGTACTCACTAATCTTGAGGGGACTACTGAATTGTAAATCTTCAGCCTCAGAAAGGGTTCTGTGTCTTTTCCTTTTACTCTTTCTCAGTGCCCCTTATGCATAATCCAATGGAGTATTCCAAGGAAAATATTTTTAATGACTGGGGGTTGCCTGCAATAAGTTGAGCCTGAAATCTCATTTTTCAGTTGGATACCTACTCATGTCATGGATCTGTAGTATTCTTTTTGCTTACTCCAGCAGTAGGAAATAATATAGGGACAGAACTCAAGAGAGAGAAAATGAGCAATAGGGCAATGAGGCACACTCCCATTGTCTGGTAGAAAAAAGATGCATGAGTCTTCCATATGTCAAGTAGATACTACAAAGGTACCAGGCTTGAACTATTGTGAAGCAAGTTCATCCTAGACTGTGACTTACTAAGAGAAGAGACCCCAGCAGCAAAAGCCTGTAAGGTGAGTTATGCAGGAAATAAGGAGACTGGAAGAGGTCTACAGGAGTCGATTTCCTATGAAAGGAGGTTGTGCAATGAAGAGACTGCCTGCTACATGGAGGACAGAGGTCACAACAACAACTGGTAAGCAAAACATTTCTGCTGACTTTTGAGAATTCTCTCTTCTTCCTCAACATAGAAAGGGCTCAGAAAATGCAAAAGGGAGGGGAAAGAGTTACGAGTAGCCTCCTCTCACTGCCACTGTGTCCTGGGGAGGAGATGGACATTTGAATTGGACAAGAAACTGAAGTGGATGGCACTGGATTGCCTCTTTTCCACTCTTTTCCAGCCTAAAAAGTTCACAAAATTGGCATTTGCTGGAGAAGCCATGAAGTCTTGGGAAAGGGAGATTCGACAGAGCATGTTACAGCCACAATAGGAGAAAAAAACCTTCTCAGGTTTGAACCCTGCTGAGTTCACAGTTTTCAATAAATTGCTGACAAATGCAAGGTGTTCAGACAAGTAGGTAGTGCTCCACAAATAGTAGATATTATTCTAGTCACCTAGAGAGAATAAATGTTCAGAAAATGTCTACGTATGTTTTGCTATCAAAGAGCGAATAAGATATTCAATTTGTATTTTTGCTTTAGATAAAGCATAATGCCCTTATTATGCCTTCAAGTCTTCATTTCCCCCACGAAGGGACGTTTTTCTGTGTTATTTGACCATATGCCTTTTGCTACGCTGGGCATTTGCCTTCTTTGACCTTTTCTGGACATTCCCACTTTACCCGCCAGGGATTGAGGAGATTACAAAGGTCATCTAATCATCTAGTCTCGTTTCCAATTTGGTTAAGATAAAATATTATTTAATTACTAGAAAAATACTTTGTTATTAAAATCAAAGTGTCTTGTGCTGGTTTGCAAACAAAGTAATTTCTACACGCTTATAACACAAAGAGGAGACCAGATGTGGTGAAGTAGAAGAGAGAGGACACTGGCTTTGGAGCCAGGGGACCCAGAGCGGCTCCCAGTAATGTGATATTTTATGTGTTTTCCAACCCCATGCAGCATCCATTGCCTCACCTGTAAAATAGGGGTTTTGACAAGGACCACATCGAGTTATTGTGAAGAGTAAATAGATGATTATAGAAAACATGTCACACAGTGCTAGGCACATAGATGAAGCTTAAGGAATAGCTGTTGTCCCGTTTCCAAGGTTGCAGAGTCAGAAGACACCCCTAAGAAGACATAAAGTACTGTTGTTCAGAAGGAAGGCATTGGGAAAGTCAAAAGGACACCAGAAATAGTGAACTCAACATTGATTTGCACATTTGACCAAGGTTGGTGGTCATTTACGCAGCAGTATTGAGATGATCCATAGAAAGTCATGATAACACTATTGGAGCAAAGTCACAATATTTGTATTTTCATATGTATCTCATGATGTATATAAGTACTCATTTTAACACCCATTGTTTAAAAACTGTTCAGAATTCAGAAAAATTAAAAAATCATTTAAACTAAATATTACATTATTGACTATAACTTAAATTTCAAAATGTAAACATTAACCATCTATTATAATTTGAATTAGCAGGATAAAAAGCAATACAAAAGTATATAAAATAAAGTAAACATTGCACAAAATGAAGAAAATGAATCCTGAAAATTGAAAATGAATTAAATTGGATTTTCTGGCAAATATGATCTTAAGAACAACGTGTATCAATGGTGTTATCTTCGATGGTGAGCCTCATTTTGGGGCATATTCTTCTAGCCACTGGAAACACTTTCCATAATTTAAAATAGACAGAAAAATAGTGACGAGACAAAAAGCAACTAAGTCCAAATATCTTCCTCTGGAACTTTTATTTACAAATGATTCCATCTTTTTGTGAGAGTATAAAGATGATCTTTTAGAAATTTTTATTTTTATTGTATTAAAGACTACGATGTCTTTATTGACAGCTGTAGTTTTTGTTATTAAGGCCCAGAAGTCAGCTTACTGGATGCCTGGTTCTTAGCTTTTGCTGTGAAATAGCCTTTTTTGAAACAAAACAAATCCATCAGACAGGCAAGAGCTTCTACCACCAAACACTGACTGTTTTAGCTATCAATCTTACCCCATTGGAGGCAGCCTTATATTGAGAGTAAGACGGACTCCTTTTTCCTTATAATTGTCTTTTAAGGAGGTCCTATTTCATTAAATATTCAGGGAAAATTGTTTTTTGTTTGTTTGTTTGTTTGTTTTTTAAAAACCTTCTTTCAGGAAGTAGAACTAGGGTGAATTTAATCTGGGAAAATTTGGGCTACTGTCCCAGTCATCTTTGCTTTCTAGCTCAGAGGCCTTGAGAGATCGTAAGGTCTCTCTTTTAATGCTGGGTTTAACTCTCTGGTAATTCTCAAAGTATAAATAATTCATGTCTCAGGTTTTAAAAATGTTAAAATAATGATATCACACTAACAAAATATTGGCGTTTGGGTACATAAGAGTCTGTAGTATGATCTACTAGAGTTCTAGAATGTTGAACATTGATGGTGCAATTATTAATTAAAATTATCTTGCTCAGAAGGTTTTCCTCCATTAAACTACACTTTTTAGAGTAAGCTCACTTTGGTTTAAGGCACCTGTTCATAGGATGTCCTTAAATATATGAATATTGCCCTGGGAGTTACCCTTTTAGTCATTAATAACTGGGCATAAATCACTTATCTGCCAGGTAATCAAGAACAGGACCCAGAACAAGTGTTTTTCTTTCTTTCTTTCTTTCTTTTTTTCTTAGGCTGGAGCAGTGGAAAGAGAACTATGCACAAGGATGAGGAGAATAATTGTGATTGTGGGACAGGGCCCCAGGAGAGAGGTATAGCAGACTGGCCTTGGAAAGCCTGCAGCTGCATCAGGAAGGCAAAGCATGCTTGGAAAAAATGCTGACTGAAGTAAGGCAGAACCTAGAGGGTGGGTGGATACTCCATAACTGTATTCAAATTGGGCACTCTCTTGTTGTAAAGCCTTTGCGTAAGTGCAACTGAGAAAATATATGGTAGAAAAAAAAGGCTATGTTCTGACCAGCTCGAGGATGGGGGAATATCATGCATAATATGTGCAAACTATGTGAAGAAAAGTACAAGTTAATATGATCACAAAAATATTCAGAAAAACACAGAGTGAAGGAGGTAAGACAAGAGGTAATGAAATAATTAGTGAAGTATGGGCTCCTGTGCAAGGGAATATCTTGAGACAGATTTTTGAAGAGAAGTTAGATGTGGGCTGATGAAGAGGAACTGTCACTCCACATTGAGGGAGTGGTCTCTGCAAAGGTGGTAGCTTAGCTTGGGTTCCTAAGAAAAGAGTCTGAGGTTAATCTTATGAGCACATGCTTTATTGTAGAGTACAAGTCCAGAGAAGCAAGTGTGACAAAAAAGGAAGGATAGGAAACAAAAAGTCATGTTATTGAGCTCTGGTTATAGGAAATTTAAATGGTTACTCAGTTACACTGAACATCTCCAGAGAGATTCATGAATTCACGGCACCTTAGAAAAATTCTTTGGTGGAAAGAAGGGCAAACAATCTATCTACTGGCTTCTTTCCATCTCCTGTTTCTCATGCTTACTTGACCTAACAAAGTGTTAACTTGCACATCTTCCCTCCAGACAGCTGCTGGGTTAGTAACTAACTCCAACTTAGTTACTGGAGCTGCTGCTGTTTCTGCTGTGATGAGAGGTATGGAGGCCATGTCAAAGCCTGGCTTTTTCTCCCCAGGATTTGCAGGGAAGGCTGCAAAAACCAGGGTGAGAGATGCTGAGTCTTCTGAGTTTTATGACCATTGGAATGGCATGAGTCAATCAACCATTGCTGAGCTCCTCTGATCAGGACTCTGGGCAAGCAACAGTCTGGGGCTGAGGGTAGATGAGGCCCAGGAGGATCTGAGGAAATGTCCAAGATAGGTCTGGAAGAGTGAGGAAAATGGATGATGAAAACTTAGCATGTCTAGAAGGAGTGAGGTCTCAACAAATGTGTAACTTAGTGTATGTAGTATTGGAGTGACGTTCTAGGAATGGCCAAAAGCTAGGATTCCATAGGCTGATTTGAATGAATTTGAGATGTGTGCCCATTTTGTTGTGCTTATTATGGCTGATCCTGTAGTTTTAGCAATTCAGTGATCATCTCAACTTTCTTCCTAAACAGCTGAGCCTGGAAAGCTAAAACTAACACTTTTCAGACTTCAATGAAATTACTGTTCTGAATATGATTCAGGTTCTACCAAAGAGATGTATTCATGAGAACTGAATTTAGAACTGAAGGAAGTGGGGAGAGAAGCATGAGCTGTGATGGTAGTAGCTGCTGGGTAAGTGGCCAGCAGCCACTATGGTACTTCCTATCATGGCAGAGACAACTGGTCTCAGAGGTGCCCAGTTGTGTCTTGTGGCTTTGGACATTTCTCCTGGATGCTCAACCTAGAGACTGTTTATCTCTCAAGTGATTTGTAAACCTTTTAATGCTCTGTGAAAAAAAAATTTAATCCCTTTTGCCTAAACCAGCTAGAGTGGATTCTATTCTGAGGAAATGACCATATTTTAAAGGTTTGCTGGAGAAGTCTGGATGGGGGGTGGAGAGAAAGAAATATAAAAATAGAGATAGAAATAGCTAAATGGAGGGTAGAGATATTAATTCCGGCTCTTAGATGGTGGGCAACTCACTACCCACAATTATTAAATCTGATTTTTCCTCTCAGCACACATTCATATAGATACCATGTATGAAGAATACAGGAGAACCCTGAAGGTATCCAAATGAAATTGACTTCCCAGTCATCATTAAACATTTAAAGAACTTCAACAAAACATGCTCCATGTTAAGGACTTTAGCACCTAAAAATAAGGAAAGATGCAGCTTTTGATTTTAAACATTTATTGTTTTCAAGGGAAAGCCTTCTGTATCCCTGCACACTTTAAGCAGGTAAATGTTAGATTGCTGCATCAGCTCCTGGACTCTGCATAACTTCTGATGTCCTTCTGGTAAACCTTGATCCCTTATTGCATCATGTGACCTCCTCTCCCCCAGCTCTAGCTCTGCCTAGCCGGTAAGTAAAAGGTTATTTTCAAGAAGCTGCAGTTAGATAAGTAAATAACAACTTGTACCTAATTTCATATTTTATCTGAAGGTGTGCGGAAGGTAATACACCCAGAAACATTAAATAACTGGTTTACATCTAAACGGTTTTTGACTAAAACCTTAAAGCTAGACCTATCAAAGGGCTCAACAGAATAAAAAGTGTTTCCCTTTGAAGAATTCTGTGTCCTTAGAAGGCATTTAGGTTATGGTAGAAATGGGTTTTCTTTCAATAACTTTAAGAGGAAAAATTACTTAAGACTGGTAACTTAAGACTGACACTATGTGAAAGAAGCAAAGGTGACATTTGAAGTAATCAATTATCAGAGGCTTTTTAATAACATTCCAGTGACCAGTCTTGATGTCTTGATATTTCTCACCAAAAGCAAGGATAGTTATTTGCGGAAATCTCAACCCAAAGTAAACTTATATTGGCTATGCTGAAATAATTTAAAAGATATGAACTGTTTTCTACATCCGTACTATTTTAAGTGTCATCAGCAACATTCATATTACCCAGGAAACTGTTAGAAATTCAGTCTTAGGCCCCACCCTAGACTTACTGAATCAATATCTGCATTTTGACATTGCCAGGTCATTTTTAAGCACATTAGAGTTTCTAATGTCCTGTTCTAGATGCTGTAAAATTATTCATAAGGTCACTTGTTGAAATGATTGCATTCAGCACTTAAATATGTTATGGACAATGTCCATTAAGGATCAGCAAATACTTATTTGTGTCCATATTAGTGATATTATTATATGAGTTTTTAATTTATGTTATATGGGTTATTAATTTAGTCAATGTTTCTTGTTCTAATAAAGGGCTCTGATTTTAAACCATTTTATCCAATGGTTTTCTTGAGCTTCCTAAAGTGGTAAACAGTCTCTGTTTTCTTCTTATATGTTCTTGTAGCTAATTGTTTTAATCATCTTTTTGTTGTTACTTCAGCCTCAGTGATGGGTTACTATTTAAGGATTCTCTAAAAGCCTTCTAATATACCCTCAATGTGGTTCTGGCAGACTCTGTCTACCTGACAGCCATTTCCACATTCTCCTTTGTTTACAGAGCCACAGTTTGGTTGTGTTGTAGTGTTTTTATTCCTAGTCTAAGAAAATCATGATGATCTTATGTTCCTTTGCCATATACTTAATTTTTCATTTTTGTTTATAGCTGAGGGTGATCACATGACTGAGATCTGACCAAAATGGGGTTTAAGTAGAGGCTTATGAGAAAGTCTTTGTTCCATAATAAAACAGACAGGGATGAAAAAGATAGCTTATTGGCTCCTGTGATCCTTTCTTTCAGCCTACACACAGACAGGATGCTTGGTGCTATGACAGCCATCTTGAAGCCATGAAATCATAAAAACAAGGACAAAAAGTCAACTTACTGAGAATGGTAGAGAGGAAGAATAGAAAGACCCAATTCCTAGTGACAGCATTAAGTCACTACTTATGTCCTGAACTCTGTATCCAGAGTTCAGATTTTGTAAAAACAAAGCAAAAAAGAAAACAGAAACAACCCTATCTATTTATGTTATTATTAATTTACTTTGTTATTTGCTGCTGAAAGCGTTCCTAACTGGTATAAATAAGAAGGACTAAAGAACTTACCCTCGTCAGAGATTTACTCTGTAAGTGAGCATGGTTGTTGAATATGTGACCAGTCTAAGTAGTGAGGCAACACAGAGTGGAAGAATATCTGGATTTTGTTATTGGCTCCTGTACTTCTCAGCTGTGTACAAAGCAAACCTTGCTTTACAGGAACTTTGGCTCTCTATTTACAAGGTCAGTGTCAACTCCTAGTGCCTTTTTTTAATTTTTCTGGCAAAAGGGAAATGGGCTAAGTTCTAGGAATTTTCCTTTATGTGAGTATATGAGGTTTTCTAAAACTTTCTAGGGAGTCAAATGTTTTCCTTGCTATTGGTTGCTTCTGATAAATTAGGTTTAATCACAGTATATTCCTAGTAGTAGGTTTTTGATTTTTGAAATGGTGATTTTTCTTTCTCTTTTGGGGATGAAAAAGAAAAATGAAAGCTTAATGATATTTTCTTTCAAAGCAACCGTCTTCTTTTTCAAGATAAACAAAATATTATGCTAAATTGAAACCAATTTTATGAAATTATATTTTAAAAAAGGATTTCAAAAAGCCATATCTAAGTCTTTTGAGGAAAATGGAAACATTATAAGAAAAATAACAAAGCAGCATTTGTAGTATTTTAGGTCTAGTAGACTTAGGTAAAATTTAATGCACGCTTTTCAACCTGGTTGGCTTTAATAGTCCACAGATATCCTGGCTGAATCCACCAAGGTTTTTAACAATTTGAATTTGCTACCAATAGTTCCTTTTTTCTCATCTCACCTTACACTGTCTCCATGTCCTGATGTGCTTCAACTCAGAAGCACTGGAACTCTCTTGATACCAAAGTTGTGTTATGGTGTGTGATAAGGTTGATGATGGTGGGTGTTATGGGTTGAATTGCATCCCCCAAAAAAGATATTGAAGTCCTACCCTCCAGGACCTGTGATTGTCACCTTATTTGGAAATAAGTTCTTTATAGATGATCAAGTTAAGATGAGGTCATTGGGGTGGGCCTTAATCTAATATGACTGGGTTCATATAAGATAGAATAGAAACGGAAGGAAGAGAAGATGGTGTGAATACACAGGGAGAGCACCGTCAACAAGTGAAGGAACTCCTGAGGCTCCTGATGCTAAGAGAGAGAGACATGGAAGACATTCTCCCTCACAGCCCCCAGAAAGAATCAACTTCTCTCATACTTTAATTTTGGACTCCAAACTCTCAGAACAATACAGTTCTGTTGTTTAAGCCACCCAATTTGTGCTTTCTTACAGCAGTCCCTGGAAAGTAATACAGTGGAGGAGGACCCCCATGATTACATTCTGCGAGAGGAGTTCCTAAGCATTGCAGCATGAAAAACAGTGCTTAAAAGCTTAAGCAATATTTTTCAAAATATTGACCTATCTCAGTAGGAACTGAGATAGGCAACAAATCTGACTGACAGAATACATTTCAAACTTTCAAAATTGTGTCTTCCTCTTACTGTGGGTCCTTACCCCTGAACAAAGTTCATCACACCTGGCTTCACGTTGCAGGGTATATTTTTTTGATGCCTGCCTTATCTGGCTTCCAGTCATGCCCTGGAATTTGAGTGTCTCTCAAATGTAAAAATCAAAAAGTATATTGTAAAAATGTCTATACTATGCAAAGTAATATACAGATTCAATGCAATTTCTATCAAGATTCCAATGACATTTTTCACAGAAATAGAAAAAAATCTAAAATTTATATGAAAACATCAAAGACATCAAATAGCCAAAACAATCTTGAACAAAAAGAACAAAGCTGGAAGCATTACACTATTTGATTTCAAAATGTACTGCAAAGCTATAGCAATCAAAACAACATGGTACTGGCACAAAAACAGAAATATGGACCAATGAAATTGAACAGAGAGCCCAGAAATAAATTCACCCATTTACAGTTAACTGATCTTCAACAAAAGTGCCAAGATCATACAACTGAGAAAGGACAGTCTCTTCAATAAATGGTGCTGGAAAAACTTGATATCCACATGCAGAAGAATGAAATTGGACCCTTATTTCATCCCATATACAAAAATCAACATAAAATGGATTAAAGACTTAAATGTAAGACCAGAAACTATAAAACTATTAGAAGAAAACCTAGAGACATTGACATTGGTCTTGGCAAAGATTTTTTGGATATGACCCCAAAAGCACAGGCAGCAAAAGCAAAACTAGACAAATGGAATTACATCAAACCAAAAAAATAGCTTCACAGCAAAAGAAGCAATCAACAGAGTGAAGAGAAAACCTATGCAATGGGAGAAAATATATGTAAATCATACATGAAATAAGGAACTAATATCCAAAATATATAAGAAATTCAAACATCTGAACAGCAAAAAAAAAAAAAAAAAGAAAATTTAAAAATGGGCAAAAGATCTGAACAGACATTTCTGCAAACAGAATGTATGAAAGGCCAACAGGTATATGAAGAGATGCTCAACATCACTAATCATTGGAGAAATGCAAATTAAAACCACAATTAGATATCTATCATCTCACCTCTCTAAGATAAGCATTTGCAAAAATGTGGAGAAAAGAGGACCCTTGCACGCAGTTGGTGGAAATGTACATTAGTATAGCCTCATGGAAAATAGTATGGAGGTTCCTCAAAAAATTAAAAATAGGACTACCATATGATCCAGCAATCTCACTTCTGAATATGTATCCAAAGGAAATGAAATCAGTATGGTAAAAAGATATCTGCATTCCCATATTCATTGCAACATTACTTGCAATAGCCAAGATAGGGAATCAACTGATGAATGAATAAAGAAAATGTGGTATACATAATATAATGGAATACCATTTTGCCTTAAAAAGGAGGAAATCGGGTCATCTGCAACAAGCTAAGTGAAAAAAACCAGGCACAGAAGGACAAATACTGTATGATCTCACTTACATGTGGAATTTAAAAAAGTTTAACTCATAGAAGCAAAGGGTAGAATAGTGGTTGCCAGGGACTGGGGCTAGGGGTGGGAGCAGGGAATGGGGAGTTATGGTCAAAGACTACAAAGTTTCAAATAGACAGGAGGAATAAGATCTGGTGAACTATAGTACAGCATGTGACTATAGTTAATAATATTGTATTGTACACTTGAAAGTTGCTAAGAGAGTAGATTTAAATGTTCTCATCACCAAAAATGATAAATATATGCAGAAGTGACAGATATATTAATTTGATTTAATTGTTCCACTGTGTATACATATATCAAAACATCATGTTATACACCATACATATATACAATTTTTCACCTTGCCAATTAGAAATAAAAATTATTCATATAAAATAAAAATAAAAATAAAAAATAAAATTCAAATTCATAACCCAAATTTCCCTAGACCTCTGCTTCCTCTGCATATAACATGTTTGAGTCTCGCCTAAACTCAAATTGGACCTCCACAGTCTTAGCAAAACTCTTTTAGAAAGTGCAATAATATTTCTTAATAATCTGTCCCAGGTTATCACTTTCCATAAGAATATCCTTTTTTGAGTTCTCCTTGAAACCATAGTTCAAAACAAATGTGTTTGTTCTTGCATTATTTTTGGTAGAGAGAAGAACTATGTGATAAGATAAACCTTAAGATAAATCCATGTCTATTGGGGATAAAAGTTTTCAGTTATTCTGCTCTTCACAAACTAACCCTAGTTCCTCTAATCTTAAAGGTTTTAGCTTTCAACTTTTAGTTATTTGAATTTTGGGGGAAAGATCTCACATCAATTTCTCCATGTTAAGATTTAAATAACCAAACTGGAAGTTAAGTTTTTTTTTCTTTTTTGACAGAGTCTAGCTCTGTCGCCCAGGCTGGAGTGCAGTGGTGCGATCTGGGCTCACTGCCAGCTCCGCCTCCCGGGTTCACGCCATTCTCCTGCCTCAGCCTCCCCAGTAGCTGGGACTACAGGCGCCCACCACCACGTCCGGCTAATTTTTTGTATTTTTAGTAGAGACGGGGTTTCACCGTGTTAGCCAGGATGGTCTCGATCTCCCGACCTCATAATCCGCCTGCCTCGGCCTCCCAAAGTGCTGGGATTACAAGCGTGAGCCACCGCGCCGTGCCTGGAAATGAATTTTTTACACACCAAGTGAAAATAAGTGGTATACATTTTCACAGGAAATTTTCCCACAATAAAATTTCTAGATGGAAGTTCAAGTCCTTGTGCCTGAGCTCCTTAGATTAAAAAGCATAGCAGTTATTTAACACTCTTTTAAAAAAGAAAGTATGAAGACATGGTGAAACTATTTTGCTTATCACATTGACATTCCTTTGAGAAGAAAGAAAGAAAATGACATGTGGTTGGGAATTCTTCAGTTTAGCCCTATAGAGATTTTTAAAAATGTTTTAACTTTCAAAGGCGCTTTTATAGAGCTATAAAATTGCCTGTCTCCTCTCCAGGCTATGCTGTACACAAATGCAATTCTAATTTTTATCGAATGCTACTTTGATCATTCAGCTGCTTGATCAAAATCAATAATGACTTATGGTGTTTCAGATCATGTCTATACTTTTCAAGACCCTTAATAATCTGCCTCCATCCTACCTATCCTACATTCTATTTCACATTTCCCTATAATAATCTTTGTTATTACCTTACTGCCTTTCTCTGTCCCTGTCAACTGCAACACATAAGGGTTTGTATATAAAACATGCACACACACACACACACATACACACACACACACACATTTCATGCATATTCTGGCCTTGGGACTTTTACTTATGCGTTTTTCCTTTTCTGATGTCTACGTATGTATAGTTTTTCTCTTAGCAACATCTAAACTTCTTTAAAAGTCACCACAAATTCTACTTTCTTCCAAGAAGCTCCCCGATGACCGTAACCTACATTATCCATCCACTTTTTTTTTTTTTTTTTTGGTAGGGTCTTGCTCTGTTTCCCAGGCTAGAGTGCAGTGGTATGATCACAGCTCACTGCAGCCTTGGCCTCCTGGGCTCAAGCAATCCTCCCACTTCAGCCTCCCAAGTAGCTGGAACCACAGGCTCATGCCAACATGCCCAGCTAATTTTTATTTATTTATTTTTTCATTTATTTTGTAGAGATAAGATCTTGCTGTGTTGCCCAGGCTGGTCTCAAGACTCCTGGCTCAAATGATCCTCCCACTTCGGCCTCCCAAAGTGCTGGGATTAAAGGCATGAGCCACCACTCCTAGGCCACTTTCTTATTCCTGTTACTTATTTAGGGTGACACTGTCCAAGACTTGCCTAAATACCATTTTATAGTGTTTCTTTTTTAATGAACATATAAACTGTGTTGTGATCTTTTGTTTGTTTGTTTGTTTGTTTTTATTATTATTATTATACTTTAAGTTTTAGGGTACATGTGCACAATGTGCAGGTTAGTTACATATGTATACATGTGCCATGCTGGTGTGCTGCACCCATTAACTCGTCATTTAGCATTAGGTATATCTCCTAATGCTAACTCTCCCCCCTCCCCCCACCCCACAACAGGCCCCAGAGTGTGATGTTCCCCTTCCTGTGTCCATGTGTTCTCATTGTTCAGTTCCCATCTATGAGTGAGAACATGCGGTGTTTGGTTTTTTGTCCTTGCAATAGTTTACTGAGAATGATGATTTCCAGTTTCATTCATGTCCCTACAAAGGACATGAACTCATCATTTTTTATGGCTGCATAGTATTCCATGGTGTATATGTGCCACATTTTCTTAATCCAGTCTATTATTGTTGGACATTTGGGTTGGTTCCAAGTCTTTGCTATTGTGAATAGTGCCGCAATAAACATACGTGTGCATGTGTCTTTATAACAGCATGATTTATAGTCCTTTGGGTATATACCCAGTAATGGGATGGCTGGGTCAAATGGTATTTCTAGTTCTAGATCCCTGAGGAATCGCCACACTGACTTCCACAATGGTTGAACTAGTTTACAGTCCCACCAACAGTGTAAAAGTGTTCCTATGTCTCCACATCCTCTCCAGCACCTGTTGTTTCCTGACTTTTTAATGATTGCCATTCTAACTGGTGTGAGATGCTATCTCATTGCGGTTTTGATTTGCATTTCTCTGATAGCCAGTGATGATGAGCATTTTTTCATGTGTCTTTTGGCTGCATAAATGCATAAATGTCTTCTTTTGAGAAGTGTCTGTTCATATCCTTTGCCCAATTTTTGATGGGGTTGTTTGTTTTTTTCTTGTAAATTTGTTTGAGTTCATTGTAGATTCTGGATATTAGCCCTTTGTCAGATGAGTAGGTTGCAAAAATTTTCTCCCATTTTGTAGGTTGCCTGTTCACTCTGATGGTAGTTTCTTTTGCTGTGCAGAAGCTCTTTAGTTTAATTAGATCCCATTTGTCAATTTTGGCTTTTGTTGCCATTGCTTTTGGTGTTTTAGACATGAAGTTCTTGCCCATGCCTATGTCCTGAATGGTAATGCCTAGGTCTTCTTCTAGGGTTTTTATGGTTTTAGATCTAACATTTAAGTCTTTAATCCATCTTGAATTAATTTTTGTATAAGGTGTAAGGAAGGGATCCAGTTTTGGCTTTCTACATATGGCTAGCCAGTTTTCCCAGCACCATTTATTAAATAGGGATTCGTTTCCCCATTTCTTGTTTTTCTCAGGTTTGTCAAAGATCAGATATTGTAGATACGCGGCGTTATTTCTGAGGCCTCTGTTCTGTTCCATTGATCTATATCTCTGTTTTGGTACCAGTACCATGCTGTTTTGCAAGACTAATAAAGAAAAAAAGAGAGAAGAATCAAATAGATGCAATAAAAATGATAAAAGGGATATCACCACTGATCCCACAGAAATACAAACTACCATCAGAGAATACTATAAACACCTCTACGCAAATAAACTAGAAAATCTAGAAGAAATGGATAAATTCCTCGACACATACACCCTCCCAAGACTAAACCAGGAAGAACTTGAATCTCTGAATAGACCAATAACAGGTTCTGAAATTGTGGCAATAATCAATAGCTTACCAACAAAAAGAGTCCAGGACCAGATGGATTCACAGCCGAATTCTACCAGAGATACAAGGAGGAACTGGTACCATTCCTCTGAAACTATTCCAATCAATAGAAAAAGAGGGAATCCTCCCTAACTCATTTTATGAGGCCAGCATCATCCTGATACCAAAGCCTGGCAGAGACACAACCAAAAAAGAGAACTTTAGACCAATATCCTTGATGAACATTGATGCAAAAATCCTCAATAAAATACTGGCAAAGCGAATCCAGCAGCACATCAAAAAGCTTATCCACCATGATCGAGTGGGCTTCATCCCTGGGATGCAAGGCTGGTTCAATATATGCAAATCAATAAATGTAATCCAGCATATAAACAGAACCACAGACAAAAACCACATGATTATCTCAATAGATGCAGAAAAGGCCTTTGACAAAATTCAACAACGCTTCATGCTAAAAACTCTCAATAAATTAGATATTGATGGGACATATCTCAAAATAATAAGAGCTATCTATGACAAACCCACAGCCAATATCATACTGAATGAGCAAAAACTGGAAGCATTCCCTTTGAAAACTGGCACAAGACAGGGAGGCCCTCTCTCACCACTCCTCTTCAACATAGTGTTGTAAGTTCTGGCCAGGGCAATTAGGCAGGAGAAGGAAATAAAGGGTATTCAATTAGGAAAAGAGGAAGTCAAATTGTCCCTGTTTGCAGACGACATGATTGTATATCTAGAAAACCCCATTGTCTCAGCCCAAAACCTCCTTAAGCTGAGAAGCAACTTCAGCAAAGTCTCAGGATACAAAATCAATGTACAAAAATCACAAGCATTATTATACACCTATAACAGACAAACAGAGAGCCAAATCATGAGTGAACTCCCATTCACAATTGCTTCAAAGAGAATAAAATACTTAGGAATCCAACTTACAAGGGATGTGAAGGACCTCTCAAGGAGAACTACAAACCACTGCTCAATGAAATAAAAGAGTATACAAACAAATGGAAGAACATTCAATGCTCATGGGTAGGAAGAATCAATATCGTGAAAATGGCCATACTGCCCAAAGTAATTTGTAGATTCAATGCCATCCCCATCAAGCTACCAATGACTTTCTTCACAGAATTGGAAAAAACTACTTTAAAGTTCATATGGAACCAAAAAAGAGCCCGCATCGCCAAGTCAATCCTAAGCCAAAAGAACAAAGCTGGAGGCATCACGCTACCCGACTTCAAACTATACTATAAGGCTACAGTAACCAAAACAGCATGTTTGTTTGTTTTTTGAGACGGAGTCTCGCTCTGTCGCCCAGGCTGGAGTGCAGTGGCGAGATCTCCACTCACTGCAAACTCTGCCTCCCGGGTTGACACCATTCTCCTGCCTCAGCCTCCCGAGTAGCTGGGAATACAGGTGCCGCCCACCACGCCCGGCTAATTTTTTGTATTTTTAGTAGAGATGGGGTTTCACTGTGTTAGCCAGGATGGTCTCCATCTCCTGACCTCGTGATCTGCCCGCCTCTGCCTCCCAAAGTGCTGGGATTACAGGCGTGAGGCACCGCACCCGGCCTGTGTTGTGATTTTTAAGCTTCCTTTGCATCTCCCACAGTCCTTCCTGGGCATACAATGGAGCATAATCAACAAACATTCAATTTCAATAGCCCTCTTTCCACCTGTCTGTAGAGTGCTGCAGCAATGACTCAACGCAAAGCACCCCCATGAGGAATCCTAGCTGCCAAAACACCAGAACTGGTGTATGGGTGTCTACACCAGAACTCTGGGAATCATTCTTGATAGTTTATTTCTATTTACCAAGCATATCCAGTCAGTCACCAAGTCCTTTCAAATTAATGTTTGGAACACATACTTTAAAAATTGATATATGATAAACTGTACATATTTAAGGTGTAAATTTGATATGTTTATATAACCATCACAACAATCAAGAAAATGAATGTTTCTACAACCCCCCAAATTCCTCATACTCCTTTTTATTCCCTCCCATCCACTTTTCCCCCACCGTCACATCAACCACTGATGGATCAGCTTCTCTCACCAAAGACTAATTTTCATTTTCTAGAATTTTATATAAATGGAACCACAAAGTATACACTTTTCTTTGTTCTAGCTTCTTCACTCAGTATAATTAGTTTGAGATTCATCCTTGAATTGTGTATATCGACTGTTTTTCTCTTTATTGCTGAGTCATATGTCATCATACAGACACATAAAAATGTGTTTATCCACCAGTTGCTGGGCAATTCAGTTGATTCCTACTTTGGGATACTATTGGAAAAAATACTGTAAACATTCACATATAATCTTTGTATAGCTGTATTATTTTTTCTTCTTCTGGATATCTGGAAAAACTGGAATATGTGGTAGATGTATATTTAACTTTAAAAGAAAAACTACCAGACTATTTTTCCTAAGTGATTGTATATTCCCACCAGTAGTATATCAGAGTTCCAGTTGCTCCACATCCTTGCCAGCAAGTGGTATACTCAGGCTTTCAAGTTTTAGTCATTCAAATACGTATGTAGTTGTATTCCCTATTTTTTATTTGTGCTTCCCTAATGACTAATAATGTTGAACATATTTTCATAACATTATTTTCCATCCACATATCTTCATTTATGAAGTGTCTAATCAAATTTTTGGCTGACTTTTAAAAACTGGATTATATGTTTTCTTATTGAGCTTTGAGAACTTTCTATATATTTTGTATAGAATTCCTTTAACATATATATAATACACAAATATTTTTCCAGACTGTAGCTTGTCTTTTTATAGTGTCTTTTAAAGAGCATAAATTTACGATTTTAATCAAATCTTTTTTTTTTTTACAATACATCATGCTTTTGTGGCATGTCTAAGAAATCTTTTCTAATCTAAGAATGCAAAGACTTTTCTTTTATGTTTTCTCCTAGACGTTTTATAGTTCTAGATTTACACTTAGGTTACTGATCTATTTGGAGTTAATTTTTGTATATGTTGAGATTGAAGTGTAGTTTTTTCCCATATGGATATTTGATTGTACCTGGCTCATTTGCTGACAAAACTATCCTTCCTTTGTTGAATTGCTTTTGCACCTTTGTCAAAAATCAATTGTCTATATATGTGTGGGTTTATTTCTGAACTCAATTCTCACCAATTGATTTTTTTGTCTTGATGCCAAAACCACATGGTCATGATCACTACAGCTCTATAATAAATCTTGAAGTCAGATACTATTAGTCTTTCAACTATGTTCTCCTGTTTCAAATTTGTTTTGGCTCTTCTATATCTTTTATATTTCCACAGGAATTGTAGAATAAGTCTGTCAATTTTCACTGACAAGCCTACTGGGATTTTGATTAGGATTGCATTGAATCAAAAGTGTAAGTTGAAGAGAATTGATTTTTTAAAAAATAATGAGTCCTTTGATCTATAAATATAATATATCTCGATTTATTTGCATCACCTTTATTTACTCTCAGCAATGTTTTATAGTTTTCAGTGTACAAATCTTTCATCAATTTTATCCAGTATTTTGTGTTTTTGATGCTACCCAAATGGTATTTTATTTAAAAATTATAATTTCCAATTGTTCATTGCTAGATTATAGAAATATGATTGATTTTTATATGGCAATTTTGTACTTACAACATTGTTAAACGCACTTGTTGTTTCCTGCAACTTTTTTTGTAGATTCCGTAGGGTTTTCTATATATATGATCACATTGTCTGTGAAGAAAGACAGGTTTACTTCTTCTTTTCCAATTTGTATGCCCTTTTTTCTCTTTTGTGATTCATTATACTGATTAGAACATATAACACAATATCAAATCGTGGTGGTAGGAGTAAACATCCTAGCCTTCCTCCTAATCTTAGGTGCTTTTCAATTTTAACTCTAACTGGCCACTGAATCCTTCATCTCCCCCCATATTTATCACTACTATCCTATCTCAGGTTACCATATTCAGTCATCACAAACACAAAACAGAACTCCTAGTGCTCATCCTGCCTACTCCAACCCAGCTCCAATTTCTTCCACTTGGTGCAGCCAGAGTGCTATCTTCAAAACTTAAATTTGATCATCAAAACCCATCGATAGATTCCTGTTACTTTTCTGATAAAGACCATGGCTCTTAATTTGGTTGACTGGGCCACTTATGATGGAATACCACTTAAAATGTCTTAAAATTTCCCTCTTGTCCCACTCTACATCTTAACCATAGCCACACTGGCCATTCTTAACTTCCTCTGACTCACCATGATTCTTCCTGATTCTACCTCGGGGTCTAGGGATATGCTATCCCCTCATCTCAGGAACACTTTCCTCAGTGTCTGCTTTACCTGGTTAGCCTCTATTTCTCCTTTCTCAGAGAAGCCTTTGCTCACTTCCAATTACTAGGTTAGGCACTCCTTTGTTTAAGGTCAGAATAAGCTGTACTTTCTGTTTTATAATTTTGAAAGCTGAAAATGTATTGAAATAATATTATTTGCTTTGCTTTTATCTCTGTAGAAATTTCTTCCCCTGTCCCAATCAAAAACATAGTCAAGCTTCAGTGGGTTTTTTGGCTCAAGGACTTTTATGTTGTTGAGTTAAAAGAGGAGCCACTAGGCTGGAGAACTTGAGCTCCCTTGTTTAATTTTTTAAAATAACCTTTTTATTTTAAAATGTTCGAGATTTACAGAAAAGTTTTGAAGATAGTATGGAGAGTTCCCATATACCTCATGCTCAGTTCCCCAGTTATTAACACTTTACGTTAGTGTGGTACATTTGTCACAATTAATGAACCCAATATTGATGTATTGGTATGTTATTGATATATTATTGATACATTGATTCATTATTAGCACAACTCCATGTTAGTAACTAAGATCTGGGTCTTAGGTGTGTTCATTGCTACTGGGGTATCATTATTTCAGAGATGACAAAGCAAGAAAATATATGGGTATATAATCACACGTATATATATATATGTATATTTATGAATGTGTTTATATTTCCATATATATCTTTTTATATACTGCACTAATTATGAGTTCGTAGTTATGTCTTCAGCTCTAATCCATTATCACTCAGATCATTCTAACCTTTTCCCCTTGCTTATCTATAACTTTCCACTTCAACAGTGAGAAACCTGGCTTCCATATCTGTCATCCATAAATGTACGTATTTAATTCCAGTACACATGTATACTGGTTTCAGAATAGAAGCAACTTTATTAACTAGAGTGCAGTGCTTATGTGCAATTCCTTTTGCCTTTAGTCTTACAGGCTCCTCTCATTTCCAAAATCACTTAGGTCAGCCCGTTTTCTCCCACCCTCTTCAGTGAGTTGGTACACACATTAGTAACACACATTCTTTTCTCATATACTGTATTCCATCCTGGGATCTCTCTGACTTTCTAAATGATTTAAAAAATTTGCGTACATCAAGATTCATTCTTTGTGATGTAAAGTTCCATGGTCTTTGACAAATGCATTGTGCCATGTCTTCACCACTACAGAATCATACAAGGTAGCTTCCCTGCTCTAAAAGCCCCATGCTTCACCTAGTCACTTTTCCATGCCTCCATTCTGAGTCCCTGGCAACCACTGATCTGTTCACCATCTCTCAAGTTCTGCCTTTTTCATATATCATATAAATAGAATCATATAGTATTTTGACTTTTCGAACTGGCTTCTTTCACTTACAAAATACATATTTAAGAGTTATCCATGCCTTTTAGCATTTGCTTGAGAGCTCATTTATTTTTATTGCTAAATAGTATTCCATACATATTCCATCTTATTAATGTATAATTTATTGATCAATTCACTTATTGAAAGACATTTTGGCTACTTTTAGTTTTTGGTGATCATTAATAAAGTCACTATAAATATTTGTTTACAGATTTCTGTGTGGACAGTTTTCAAATCACTTGGGTTAATACCTATACCTAGAAGCATAATTGCTGGACTGTATGGTAAGACTATATTTAGCTTTATAAGAAATTGCCAAACTGTCTTCCAAAGTGGTTGCACCAGGAGAGTTCCTGTTGCTCTGTGTCTTTGCCAGCATACAATATTGTCAGTGTTTAAGATTTTAGCCATTCTAATAGGTGTGTTGTGGTTTCTCATTTTTGTTTTAATTTGGGCATTTTCCTAATTACAAAATGGTGCTTGAGTCTTTTAATATGTTTATTTGCTATTTCTATATCTTCTTTATTGATGTGTCTGTTCAGATCTCTTATTTTTAAATATCTGTTTTCTTATTATTGAATTTTAAGAGTTTCTTGTAAGTTTTAAATACAAGTCCTTTATTAAATATGTTTCACAGAAAATACTCTCCCAGTCTATGGCTTGTTTTTTCTTTTTAAATATCTTAACAGTGACTTTCACAGAGCAGAAGTTTTATACTTTGATAAAGTCCCACTTACCAATTCTCTTTTATGGATTAAACTTCTGGAATAAAGGACTATGATATTTCTTGCAATTTTATAGTGCAAAATTTGTACCCATTGTATACTAATCAAGGCATAATTATATTTTTATTTGTGTTATTTTAATATTAGCCAGGTGAGGTGGCATGTGCCTATAATCTCAGCTACTTGGGAAGCTGAGGTGGGAGGATCACTTGGGCCCAGGAGTTGGAGACAAGCCTGGGCTATATAGCGAGATCCTGTTTCAAAAAGCAAAAGCAGAAACAAACAAAATCTTTGGTTTTGCCCACTAAATGCTAAGCTCCATGAGGTAGTGATTATGCCTTTTTTGACTATCATTATATCCCGGCGTCTAATTTTGTGTTCAGCACATGGCAGATACCTAACCAATGGTAATTGCTTTGTTCATACGTAATGAATGATTGGTGACTTCACTGTCCAGTGGACTCAACGTTTCCATTATTTTGTTCACTATACTCTAAACTTTATTGCCTCTTTCTTTTCATTTTATTTACCAGGAAAATTCATAACTGTAGATGAGTGGAAGCTTCCATGCTTTCCTTGCTTGCATCAAACTAGAACCTGGCCAGGGAGCTAACAACAATTTTTACTTTTTGAGGATTGTTAAAATAGCAAAGAAAAATACGTGAAAGAGGCTATGTGTGATCTAAAATATTTTCTATCTGGTCCTTTACAGAAAATAAAATTTGCTGGCCGGGCGCGGTGGCTCATGCCTGTAATCCCAGCACTTTGGGAGGCTGAGGCAGGCGGATCATGAGGTCAGGAGTTCGAGACCAGCCTGGCCAGCATGGTGAAACCCCGTCTCTACTAAAAATACAAAAAATTAGCTGGGCATGGTGGCACATGCCTGTAGTCCCAGCTACTTGGGAGGCTAAGGCAGGAGAATTGCTTGAACCCAGCAGGCAGAGGTTGCAGTGAGCCAAGATCGCACCACTGCACTCCAGCCTGGGTGACAAAGTGAGACTCTGTCTCAAATAAATAAATAAATAAATAAATAAATAAATAAATAAATAAATAAAAAATAAAAATAAAAATAAAAAAATTGCTGACTCCTAATCCAAACTATTGAGCATACAATGAAAAAAATTTACGCAATTAAGCAGATTAGTCAACAACCTTTCTCCTATCCCCACTGAATCTACCATGTTTATCAGCTCACTTTCTCACTTTCTGCCATTATTTCAAAGCTATTCCCTATCCTCTAACCTCTGATCCTTTCATCTTTCCTTTTCTCTACAGATAAGTTTCACAGCCCCAAATACAATTAGCTATATCTCACATTGTTTTGTTTTGCTATAATGGAGCTAGTGAAAATCCTCCCAGCCATGCTCTGGACCTCAGCCTTTCCTGCTGGAGTGGATCTATGTCTTCGGTTTGCCATCATCCTTTCCTGTGGGGAGGCATCTCTCCATATTTCATAATCATCCTGCTCAGTTTAAATGGTTTGAATTGTGCCAATTGTCACCACATCCTTATTCTTGTAGCCCCATGGGTGGTAGGCACATGGCCCCACCTTAGACAATCAGAATGTTCCAGCCACATGACTGCATAGGGGATCAGAATATGCCAACTCCAACTATGCCACTTTGGCATAAGGATCATTTTGAGCTTAAAGACATTTGAGATTTAACTAATGCAGAAGGAAGTTTTCTCAGAGCTTTCCTTATTTGACTAAAAGCAGAAAATTTTGAAAAATGAAGACTTCACAAATATCCTCTTTCAGGGAAGTTTTATGGCCATGAAGAAGATAGAAAATGGGTGCTGAGATCAACCTGGACACACAAAACTTGTTCTGTTAGTTTCACCCACATGTTAACCATTTTATGGTTTGCTGCCCTGGGAATCCAAAGACTTTTCTCTGTCTTGTCACTTTCCTACAAATTTATTGTTTTTTTTTTTTTTTTAAAATGCAATATAAGCCCAAGTTCTAAGCATCCTTTTGAGTCACTCATCACTGAGTTTTCCTCTGGGACTGTATGAGACATGTATTAACAAACTCTGCTTTTTATCTTGTTAATTTGTCGTTTGTCAGTCCAATCTGCAGGGCCCCAGACAGTGAATCTAAGATGGTCAAGGAAAAAGGTGTTTTTGGTTTTTCTCCTTTACACTGACATTGGTTGATTCAGAAAAAGGCATGTAACCAAAGCTGGGCATAGTCATTGTCCTGGGGAAGGTATTGCCATCTTTTCCTCTTGGAGAACCTTTCTGAAGACCAAATACCAGAAGGAAGTAAAGAAGCATGGGCATTTTCATGTCTCTGCATGGTTAGGGATTTTGGGGCAAATTTTACTGGGATTTGGATTCAAGGACAAGCCTTGAAACTTAAAGATAACTGAATAAGATAGTAAGAGACTTGCCTCCCTAGAGATATGCTTCTATTTCAAGGGGTGATGAGAAGACATGAGAAAAGGTGGAGCATGAAGACAATCCAGGGGTTGTAAAACAGGGAGAAACTTGTCTTATATTCCCCTATAGACATTTACTTACATGCTGAAGGGTTAGAACCCAGGATCCTTCCTATTCTCTCCCAAAAGAGAGTTTGTGTACATTAGGAACCATAGGCTTCTTTCTCTGTCTCAGAAGGAGAAGAGGGAGATAAGTGTCCCTCTTCTATAAGAACTCTCAGATTCTTATGGAATTCTTTACCTATACTACAGACCCCAGCAAGTGTAAGGTGACATCTGGGTTTTATTGCGTTACCTTATAATGGGGGATAAATTAGGGTAAGGGAAGCTGATGCCATTATTAATATAAGTAAGTACAAATAATTAGTCCCAGCCCCAGAAATCATGTTTGTATTCTCAGAATCATGAATAAATATAGATATTAAAACAACAGTATTTGTAAATTGAATTTTTATGTTCAGAAATAGGCTACAATGCCCTTGGGTGTAGGAATCCTTGTGATTCATTATGGAGTTCCTAGTGCCTGGCAGTATGTGGTACTTAAATCTTTGTTAATGGCTGGTTGAAGAGGTAAGTGAATTGTCTTAGTGCCTGAAGAATAGGTAAATGTCATTCAGTAGAATGTGGGAGCTGATCTAACAACCCAAAGCTGCTGATGGCTCTGCAAGTAGGTAGGGCTTTCTTGAAATATTTGTCTGAAGAATTCCAGCGACCTAAAGCTGGTGGAATTGGGTCAAGTCTGATGAGGCCAGTGTGGGTATTCCTCTCCCCTGGAGACTAGTCATGGGTTACTCATTTGCATGGCCTCGGGCATTCCGCTGCCTTGGTGCTGTCCTGGGTGCATTCCTTGAAGAAGGACTGTTTCTACAGAGCAAAGGCTCTGGAGTATATAGTGCCTTAGTTCCCCAATCCCAGCTCTGCCCCTCCATAGGGCCAGTTTATTCGACTTCTTTGTGGCTCAGTGTCCGATCTGTAACATGAGGTGGGGTAAAAATACACAGTTATTGTGAGAATAAAAGGAGTCAATTTGTATGTAGGAGTTAACATAATGGATTGTTGTGATTAAAAAAGTATTAATTTCTTTTTCTTTTTTTCTTTTTTTCTTTTTATTTTTTGAGACGAGTCTCACTCTGTCGCCCAGGCTGGAGTGCAGTGGTGCGATCTCGGCTCACTGCAACCTCCGCCTCCCGGGTTCAAGCAATTCTTCTGCCTCAGCCTCCTGAGTAGCTGGGACCACAGGCGCACGCAGCCACGCCCGGCTAATTTTTGTACATTTCAGTAGAGTTGGGGATTCACTGTGTTGCCCAGGCTGGTCGCAAACTCCTGAGCTCGGGCAATCCACCCGCCTCGGCCTCCCGAAGTGCTGGGATTACAGGCGCGAGCCCAAAATCCTTAGAAAAGTACAGGACACATAAGTTCTATAGATTTTTTCCTATTTACTATTCAATTTAAAAAGATTTCGGAGAGAAAAGAAAGTCTAGTGAAGCCAACTTCTATTTTAATACCTGAAAACATATTTTACGGCTACTGAAAAATATAGTTCAAAAGAAATCAGATCAACTTTATTGTCTGGTTAAGAAAGCTTTTCTTTAAGTATTATGACAAGTTTTATCCCTAAACTAATTTCCCCCAAATTAGTGCATGATAAATGAAGATTCTGCCTGGAACTATCTGAATTATATAAAAAGAATAACATCTGATTCTACATAAATTGCAAGGTATATTTTTAGTTACAAAGAACTATTGTCAGATATTCTAAGAAAAAAAGTAAGAAAATATTCTCTGCTTTCTAACAAGCCAGGGTACTGTTTTCAAAGCTTTTAAAGAACTTTGTTTTTTTGCTTTTGTTATCATTTGAAGGTCCTACTTTCACAAGATGAAATATGATATTTAGAAGGGGAAAGAGGCTGCCTAGGGAAAAACTGAAGCCTAATTGTTACTTTAACCTCTTAAGCCTCCTTTCATCCGCTAGACAAACAATTATTGAGAGTGCGCTCTGGGCTAAGTGCTGTGTTAGGCTGTCTAGGTATATGTTTATAATGTGTAGTGAGCCAGCTTCTCCTCTGTGTTCAGGGAGGTGCAGCTTTGCAGTGCTCTCAAAGGGACCTAAAAGAGTTAATAGATCTCATTAGGTAACATATGGCACCACTATCCACCCAGGTTTGGTTGGATAGCATTACTGAAGAGGCCAAGGTCTCGGTTTGATCCCTGTCTGAACAGGTTTCAGCCTTGCTCAGCAGTTTCAGGTCACAGACCATACTTTGACCTAAAAACTGAACCCAAGAGTCACAAACAAGCAATAGGGTGTATTAGAACAAATTTGTTGCTATCACTGATACATTGCATGCTTACACTGTGTGACTTCATATCTTAAAGATCATATTTTATTTTTATTGCAATCAACTCATTTGTTTAAGAACAATATATGGATCCAGTCTCTAATGCTTAAATAGCATTATTCATAAAATAGCTAATATGTATATCTTTCTTTCTTTCTTTCTTTCTTTTTTTGTTTTTTGTCTTTTGAGACAGAGTTTTGCTCTTGTTGCCCAGGCTAGAGTGCAATGGCATGACCTCACTCGCTGCAACCTCCACCTCCCAGGTTCAAGCGATTCTCCTGTCTCAGCCTCCTGAGTAGCTGGGATTACAGGTGCCAGCCACCACGCCCAGACAATTTTTTGTATTTTTAGTAGAGACAGGGTTTCACCATGCTGGCCAGGCTGGTCTCGAACTCCTGACCTCAGGTAATCCACCCGCCTTGGCCTCCCAAAGTGCTCGGATTACAGACACGAGTTATCGCGCCCGGCCATGTATATAATATTTCTTATGTGCCAAGCACTGTTATAAATACTTTATGTATATGAACTCATTTTAATTTTCATGACACCCCTATAAGGAAGAGGCTGTAATACTACTCCCATTTTACAGATCAGAAAACTGAGGAAGAGAGAAATTATGTAACTCCCAATAGCTATGAAGTGGCAGAGCTGGGATGGAAAGCTAGGCAGTCCAGCTCCAGAGTCTACATGTCTGATAACTACGACACTTGGGTGCAAATCCATTGTTTCAACTCATCAGTCAACGTATATCAATGCTCTTTTTAGTTATCTGAATATTACATTCTCATTTCAGAAAGTTGTACTAATTGCTACACTGTATTTTGTAAATGAACTGACAACAAAATACGTGGTCTTGAGATTTTACTCAACAGGGCTATTTGGATCTTTTTACCATTCTGTTATCTCCTTGATACCCCAGGTGCCACATTCAGACATTCAAACTATCTTCAGTTGAACTCCCATTTACCTTCCCAACTTTCTCCCCAGATACTTTCTTCAAAGTTCTTCTTTCCATTTTCCGTACATAAATTGTCTTCTTTTCACCTAGTCACTTTAGTCTGAAATCACTTTTCTTTCTTTAAATTTTTGATAGTATTTCACGTGAGTGCATTTACCTGGCTCTCTCTCTATATATAGGTATAAATATTTTATTTTATATATATATATATATATATATATATATATATATATATATATATATATAGTATTATGGTATCTTCTCATTGCCTTGGAGTGTTATAAAAATCATTGGTCACAATTGAAGTTCTTACGTGTTTGTATCTTGACTCTTCAAATTTTTAATAGGATGCTGAACTCTTTGAGGGCAAAGACCTTGTATTAAGCCTGAAATAAAAGGTTTAAATTATTGTGTGTATATGTTTCAGCCATGATCCATCTGGAAACAAGCATAAATCCTTCCCAGATTGAAAAAGAAATGCTGAGGGCCATTAAAAAGTATTAAGATGGGTGGCATTGGTCTTAAGTCAGTAGAATAAACTGCTCAATTAGAGATTATTCCATTGCTTTTCTCTGTCTTCCCAACTCATCGAAAACATATCAATCAAGAAATGCTTTTTAATATCTGCTATATGAAAGACAGGCTTAATGTCATGGTCTTTACCTAGGTATGTGTAACTCACAGTCCTGGATTGCAGGGAACACACAATCTAGTTGGGCTTCTGGACTTTATACCTATCTATAACATATAACTAGCACCCCTAGCAATTTTAAGTACTAAAATTGTCCTGACCATGTGAGAGTTTACAAGATGTTGGCATGCCCAGTCCATGAAAGTCAGCTTTAACCTGGGCCCAGAAGATTGTAAAAAACAGAGCACAGAGGAAGGGTATTTCAGGTAGGCATATTTCCAATGAGCAAAAAGAAACATGTTTGTTACATGTTTAGAAAATAGTATTCTGAATGGTTCAGTAATGGAAGATATAAATTGTAAGGTTGAAGTGCATAAAACTATAACTATCATATACATTTCAGATTCTTAGGCCCTGGGAAGCCAGTAAGGGATTTTGAGGTTGGCAGTAATATTATGAGAAGGCTGGTTTAGGAGAATGAATCTGGCATTATAGTGCAGGTAGACTGAAGAGAGATTGGAGGCAGGGTATTTAGTAAAGAATTACTAGAAAACTTACATTCAGAGACTTTAGAATTTGGCATGCCTTTCTTGTACAAGGCTCATTTAGGTAGAAGAGAAGATAGAAACTCAAAAAGGTAAAGAGAATTGCATGAGAACGTGATAAAATATTTTTGTTTTAAAGTTTATTTCTGTTTTTAATAATATATTTATAATTAAAAAATCATTATCTTTAAAAATGAACTTAAAAGAAAAAGATTGAATCAAGGGCAATTCTACCAAATATCTATGTATAACTCTATCTATCTGTCTATATTTGGGTAGAAACATAGTAAAGAACATAGCTATATGAAATGGATAAAAACTTGAGATTTTGCCATTCAATAGACTATTTGTCTTAGATATTAAAGTATCTTTTTACATTTATGGAAAACAGTATGCTAATAAATAATTTCTAGCTATATTGCATTATTTGACAACCAGTCATGTGTAATTTCCATTACATTAATGGTAGCAGTAAACATGAAAATGATGTCTCATGATTCGTTGATGAGCTTTATTATTTTGTTGCTGGATTTATTATTAAGACAGCTCACATCATTTTCACATCATTTAGTAGATTCAACATGTTTTCAAGGCTACTGACATTTCTGCTGGTTTTGAGTGGCTTTTAATGTTTATTTGCACTTGGGTAGGAACTGAAAAATGTCACCAAAAGACAGTTACTCATTTCCATTAAGGAGCCATGATGTATGGATGGTAATACGTTTTCATCTGAGTCCAAGGTAAACACAAAGAAAGAATACTCATAAAATCTGAAGCCCTGGCCCATTTGCTCAAGAAATTTCCTTATAAGTGATAACGTTAGCCATTATTTAATTTCTTGTGATATATGTAATAATTTCATAGCCAAAGGCCACCAAAGGAAAGTGACATTTAAACAAAAATGAGTTGCAGTTTAATTGGTTTGGAAACATATCTCAGAGTGTCTGCAATATTATAAAACTTATTGAATACGTCTTCCAGCATGAGATCTTATAAAATTTGATGTACTATTACTTAACACAGAGTTCCAACCTATCCTTAAATGCAGGGATACTGTTCTATGGCCAGAAGTTTATTCATGTGTTCATTTATGTATTTAGGCAGTGAATGTTTATTGAGTGCGTAAGTAACTGTGATGTAAGATAAAAAAGGGATAACTGTTAAAAAAAAAAAGACATCTGTGGATGGAATGCTAATGAAGATAGAACCCTACTGCTCTAGGTATTCATAGTAGGGCTTAGTGACTTCTTATATAGGCTCCTATGAAATTATAAAAGTCTCTTAATTCTTCCACCAGGACAGACCAAGATGTTCAGGAGATTTCACACACATTTTCAGTGTTGGTATACATCTAAATGTAAGTGCATCCCTGAAAGTATAGTAGGAGAATAAAGGAATTATCAAGATTGATGTCCAGGTTACTAGCTCACATGATCTCTTTCTCTTTCTTTGCACATGTATTGGTAGTTGAGATAAAACACTACTCCTAGCCAAATGTGGAATTTGAGAGAAATGGTCTAAAGATAGTTTTGGTGGAAATTCGGCCCACTTGACTGAAGTTGAAAATTAGTTTTCTTTGGAGTATACACATTGACTTGAGTCAAAAAGATACATGTGCAGACATGGAGAGTTGTAGGATTCAAAGTTTTACAGCTATTAAGAGAACACGAGCGAAGGTTCTCAGACTGTGGAGTGCACTAACTCCCTACTTCCCTGACAGCTTAGTCCAAGGAAACTGTACAGCTAGATCTTGTGCCTGTGTGCAGGTGTGCGCTCCTCTTAGCTGCACATGGTGCAGTGCTTCCTCAACAGAAGTGGAAGAAATGAAGGCAGTCAAGGGAATGGAGAGTCTCATTGTCAACCTCACTAAAGGTTTTTCAGTAAAATGTCAACCTTACTATAGATTTTTTAGGGTCTAATGCCTTAGGCTGATGGCATTTTTGACTCAAATATGATTATTTTGACAAGATTTATAATTTAGTTATGGCAAAGTCATTCCACTATTATCATTTAATTCTAATCTATTTTCCTCCTTCCCTTCCCTCCTTCCCACCCCAGCCCCCGATTTGTAGAACCTTGCCAGTAAGGTCATTAGGAAGGTGGGCAAAGGAAGTTGTCTATGATAAAGTAGGATTAAAATAGTAAAGAAAAGCACTAAAGAGAGCAAAGATAATACATACCACAATTTAACTTAGTAATCTCTATCCTATTTCCACCTTATTATTACTCTGACATTTAATCCAGAAGTCATTGGGAACCTAAGCTATCTAGATAATTATTTTGGTACTCCACTGTTTGTATGCAAACACAGACATAAAATGAAACTTTAAATTTCCAGAAATATGCAGAAACATATGCATTGCAAAAATGATTATTGAATACAAATTTGTAGGCAAACACACCATTGTACTGTGTTATTGTAACTCAAATTCTTAGTACCTTGAGGTAAATTGAGAAAAGAACTTTAAAACACAATGTCTTTTATCATCATAAAAAATATTTATTATAAAAAATTATCACATTTCTCTGTACATAGCATAAAGACAAAAACACAATGTATACATTAATAATTTAAGTGGGCCTGAGTATTCAGTATCCATCTACTAGAATCCTAAAGCTCTTCCCCAGATTTCACAAAGGCCAATGTAGATTATTTCTATTTTATCAAAGTTCATTTGCACAGTTGGTGTAATTGAGATACTAACATTTCTTTTTTCTAGTGTTTTAGAGATAGTTCACAGTATTTGAGTTAATTAATTAATCAACTGATTTAAATCTTTGGTAAATACAAGTATTTACATGTAAAAATGTTTAGCTCAAATTTCAGTAAAAAACTGAAATGACAAATAACCTACTGCAAACTGTTTTGTATAATCAGAAATGCATGAGCTGGACTCCCACCATTAAGAAATGTCACTGTCTAGGACTTCTGATGATAAAAACTGAAATCCACAAAAAAATAGTTGAGCTTCTATTACCATTACCAGAAGCACCACAACACTAGGCCACCATGAAATTACACACAAATGTCAAATTCAACATATAAACCATACTGATTATTTTACAATGCAGAAAAATCCTCCTTTTTTTCTATATGCCAGTTTAAATGTTAATTGACACGGGTAAGTTTATTATCTCAAAGCCTACTATCTTGTAAGAGTGAGAGGCATTTAAAGAATCCATACTGCTTTCAAAACACCAGTTCTTCCTCTTGCCAATGACATATCCCAGAAAATACAGATTTTTTTTGAAATAATTTGTGGGGAAAATAGAAAAATGCCTGCCTTCTGCTTCCCTCTCTTCCTATATCCTTTCTTTCCTTCCTGCCTTCTTTCATTTTTCCATTTCTTCTTCTCTAAGAGTAATCAGCGCAACTGGTCTGCCAACCTTCAAATTATACCTTAACTCTCCCAAAAATACCATATGCATTTCAGGTGTCATTCATTATCTCTCAGTCACAACAACTGACAAATGAAAGCATGCTGGCATGAGAATCTCTTACGTCCAGGCTATTTGCTTAAAATAATTACTCTAAAAGGTACTTAAATTCTAATGTTCTTGAGCCATTTGAGAATTAGTAATTTTTAAACAGACATATTAATGCTGGAGTGTAGAGAATATAATTAAATATATCAAAAATATATCTTTTAAGCCTAGAAAATGGATGCCTTTGGATTACCTTCATTTCAGGGTAGAGAAAAGCCCTTCCTACTGAATTAGGCTCTGAACATGTGATTTCTTTCCCTAACACTAGTTTTTCCAATCTACTAATTTATTTATAAACAAAGCAAAGTAAGAGATATTTTTGCTGTTACTTTGGCAATTCTCTCTCTCCAATCCCCAACATCCCGAGTTCAGTGCACATCTAACAATTCACTCAAGACTAGGCACCTGACAATAAGTGTTTACTTAGTGTGTAAAGTGAACAAGAAAAGCAGCATAATAAAGGAGCTGTGTTTTTATCAGAGGAGCCTTCCTTCTGAGTTTTTACATAAGTTGATGCCTTCACTGCAACTTTGAATACAATGCTTTGAATTTTGAAACACTTGAATAAAATGTTTGAATGCTTTGAATAAAATTCCTCCTCTTTCAGAGTAAACCTTATTTTAGTCACCAGCATTTCCTTCCATAGCACATAAATATGTTCAAAATGTACATTGACATATATTTGTAACCACATAGTGTAAACTAAGTTTTAATCCTTTGCATGGCAGGAAAATGCTGGTATTCTGACACCAATATCTTTTGATGTGAACAAGAGGCCTAAAATATCAGTCTTAGTGAAACTGCTAACCACCATCTTCACACTCACTCCCTTTCTTATTCTTATCAAAAACAGATGGAAAACTGAGGCTTATTTCTTCAGGATTTGATATAAACTCAGGAGTTATTCTACATTAAAAAATAAGGAGCTGGCCATCTGTTAACTCCTGTAGTCTTGCACTAAGTTCTCCTGGGTCACAGAAACAAGCTCCATTCCTCATTGGATCAGTGTTCTGATTAAGGAGTTTTCGTTGCTGTCGTTTGTTTTGGAGGAAACAAGGGTTCACACACAAACATTCAGGAAGCAGCACTGGTGTAGACCCACTTTGATCCCGTAAAGTGTCCTGAGTGTCCCTCTTCACATGGCCACTTCTTTTGCCAGGTTCTTTGGTTCCCTGCTTGGGATACACCAGTCATCAGCCTCAGAGCTCATCTGATAATGTTTGAAGGCTGACTTGTTAAAAACTGGAAGTTTTTCTATAGACTCAGAAGACAAAGCCTAAAAGAAAAGGGGGGAAAAACATGAGACCAAAGAAATTATGCATGGCATAATTTGCACTTGAAGTTATTACTCAAAATACATTCAGAGGTAAGTATCCAAACATTCAAATACATTCATTTAATTGACACAGTAATAAGAGCACACTGGTGCCTGCACTCAGTCTATGGCTCTTTCTTAATAGTTTGAAGACTTTTGCTCATTTAAGAAGTGAATACATTAACTATTTCAGATGGTGAAAAGGCCATTTGGCAAGTAATTCCAGTGCAAAAAATGGGAGCCTGAAAGTTTAATGTTTTAGTTGCTAATATCTATATTTTCAGTTGAAATAGTCAGCAAATGAACAGAATCAAGACAGTGATCTTAACAAAGAAATTGAGGCTTTACCAGAAACAGGAAAATATGCACCAAGGTTTTTTTTTTTTTTTTTTGAGACGGAGTCTAGCTCTGTTGCCCAAGCTGGAGTGCAGGGGCACGATCTCAGCTCACTGCAACCTCTGCCTCCCGGGTTCAAGCAATTCTCTTGCCTCAGCCTCCCAAGTAGCTGGGGTTACAGGCACCCGCCACCACACCCAGCTAATTTTTGTATTTTTAGTAGAGACGGGGTTTCACTGTGTTGGCCAGGCTGGTCTAGAACCACTGAACTTGTGATCCACCTGCCTCGGCCTCCCAAAGTGCTGGGATTACAAGCGTGAGCCACTGTGCCCAGCCAACATGCACCAAGTTTTTAAGTTCAAACAGTGAATGTCTGGCACCCCACTGACAGCTTTGGAACAGTCAGCTTTCCTTTCCCAGGATTTCTAACAAGGTCAGCTTAAGGACTTGAGTATCTTGATACCTGTTATTTTTTCAGGCTGGAACATTATTAGCATATATTTCCCACAAATCTAAGTAAAATAAAAGCACAGCTACTCTCATAGATGCCAAAAGGAGTTGCCTTAAAAAATTCACATGAACATGTCCTCATTCTGAAACTTTGGTAATGTATTAACCTTCTTAGGAAACAATTTTGCTTCACTTGAGGCAGGTAGTATGGCCCAGCTTCCTCTTTGGTAAGTTATCATATTAAATAATGTACACACACCCAGAAAGAGAAGAGAATGAATGACCTGTAGTCATTATTTGCATTAACTCAGTTTGGGGAATTCACTCCAGACCATAGCACTCAAGGCTATAAAAGGAGCAATGGTTTTAGAAACAGGATTTTGCTATTGAATTCAAGGGATACCTTTAAGTAGATGATAGCATCTGTTCCATATCCTGATAAAGAGTAGAGATTCAGATCTCCTTGAAAGTACTTTGCATACAGACGAGAAATTGGCAAGCCGTAACCAAAACCAGCCTAGAGAAGAGAGACGTTATCAGGTAAAGAAGTGTATGTGATCACTGAAATACAAACAAGCAGGAAATTACTGTCCTCACTGATACTAATGTCCTAGAACCTAAATAAATATCTTCTACTTCCAATCAGACATCCCTTGTTTCACCATTTTTAGCTTGCTTTATCATTCATTCTTATATCCTTCATGTCTAATTTTACTTAATTGATGAACTTGTCTAAATAATCCCTTGCAATCCTTGCTCTACATTTAGAACTAGGTGGCTGAGATTAATTTAGCCATATAATTGTTCTTACCAAAGGAGCATTCCGGGAATTATCCATCACAGGCGTTGGTGCAGTGGAGTATGTATAACTAAAGAGGCGGTCAATAATTCTCAGGGGAACACCACCTCCTCTGTCTGAAATCTAAAACAAACAAACAAGTCATCAAAGCCACACATTAAAAACAATGTGCATTTGTCTAAATAAAAATGGCTTTCCTTCATTTAAAAATCACCTGGCATATATGACTGTTATCTATTGCAAAAAGCAGACAGCTTTATTACTATTGACCCTATTTAATTCTCTCAAGAGACACCCAAAAGGAAAACAGAGAATGGTTACCTTAATGGTAAGGTCTTCTTTTCCCAAGACAACAATAACCTCTATTGGTGTAAGGGAAGGCTGATTTTCCTGGTGTTCAACTGTTGCCCGCATTGCATTCTAAAACAAAGCAAACCATAAGGAATTCAATGGCAGAGGAATGAGGGACAATAAATGTTTTTTTTTTTATGTTTAAAATAAAAGTAGCACAGAGGGTAATTCAAAGTTCCTATTTTTTTAAGTTAGTAGTAAAACAGCTTTGTAAATAGCCATTTATGAATGGGTCATGTAGGATGTATAATGAAAAATATTCATTTACTATGTAATATAGCTCCTGGGAGTAATGTCTAATGGAAACCAATTCTGCTAGCTGTCAAGTTCTTATTTGTAAGCTTAATTTAAATGTAGAAATTGGTTTTTATAGTCCATTTCCTAGCTCTCCCTTTTCTATCTTTCTATTACGTTTTACATCCAAGCACCAAAGACTACTATATAACAAATGAACAGTGAAATCATTGAACCAATTTATTGGCTTTCATAAAACTTGCTGTGAAAAGGTTGTTACTATTTAAAAGGACAGTCAATAATTCTAAATTGAATTTCAATTTGCATTTGATTATCATCTAACTTTTACCAATGATGGCAGAATAACTCTATGAGTTGTATCATTCAACTTAAAAATAAATCAAATCAATGAAAAAGTATCCTTTGTCCTTTAACACAGAACAAACTAAAAGATGTTTTCCGTCTATTGGCTGAATCTCATACAGATACAGTCTTGGTTTTCTTAACCCATTTTCCTTTCTCACCACCTGTCTACTTTCTGCTTTCTGGTTTTTAAATAATATTAAGTTCTAGTCATTAGCTGTAGTGAAATAAAGTAGATCAGATGTTTGTAGTACAGTCAGTACCTCACAGCAGTAACATTAGAATAAGTTAGGAAACAGGAAGTTCTGGAAAGAGTTATGTCAGAATTAGAGGCAGATTTGTCTTTTTTAGGCTTCCTTCTCTCCAATTCAGGGGACTCTTGGGAAGCATCAAAAAGCTTAAGGTGTTTTTCTATTTTTTGGTTTAAGTTCAATTTGATCTTAATTTAACTTAATCTTAGGACGCATGAAAGGATTTGATTCTTAGCACCTGGCTGCCTCAGACCAGTAACATCTGTATCCTTTGAGAGCTTGTTAGAAATGCACATTCTCAGACCTGAAGAATCAAAATCTCTGGGGTAGAGCCCAAGAATCTGTGTTTTAACATGCCCTGCAGGCGATTCTAATGCATATTACAGTTTGAGAAGCACAACTCTACAGGCCTGCTAGGCAAAGTGTGCATTGTGGACCAGCAGCATCACCCCTTAGCTTATTCAAAATTGAGAATCTCAGGCCCCACTCTAGACTTCCTGAATCAAAATTTTCACTTTAACTAAGTCCCCAGGTGATTCATATGCACTTTAAAGTAGATGATTGAAGGAACTACTGACTGTGCTCTTAGCACATTCTGGACTCTGAATGGAGCCATACCACCTACAGGAATTCTGGACCTGAACTGCTGAGTTAGGAGTAGGACCAGCCTGTGGGGGTGGAGGTAACAAGGCCTCATTCACTGAAACATTCACCCCATGACCTCTCTTAATGAATGAATAAATGACTAGTTCTTTAATGGGCACCTGAAAAAATAATAAGAACTTCCTCTTGGCTGTAAAGCATTGATACATCATGAATTGTATGATGCATTCTCAAATATGTGTTGATGCTACAATGAGCTACATGTACTTTGTCAAACATTGACTGTATAGTTTCTTTCTCTTAGGAGGACTAGAAGCATTCTTGGGAAAAGATATTGAGGCTTCTGTTTTGTGGCGAATAATAAAGGAGATAAAAATATAACTGTTAAACCTTTTTAAAAGGTAAAATTTCAATTATTGTGAAGTATCATACCTTAAATAGTTCAAAGAGCATATGATGGAGGTGAGAAGGAACATACACGATGTGAATTGGTTGGTCTGGAAATTTTCCTAGAAAAATAAAATTCATTAAGAATTTGTAAACAAATACTTCACTAAAATAAACCACCACATTCATGTGATTAACATTTTAGACTTCAAGAGGGTTGGCATATTCTCTACCTTCCCCATCCCCAAATCCTGCCCTAGAAACTTACCACTTAAACAGTAAATATTACTGGCTTATATTCAAAATGTTGTTGTAGTTGCTACATAATGCTCTTTTGTTAATTGTTTTTTTTTTGTAGAGATAGGGTCTTACTATGTTGTCCAGGCTAGTCTTAAACTCCTGGCCTCAAGCGATCCTCCAGCCTTAGCCTCCCAAACTGCTGGGATGATAGGCATGAACCACCTTGCTCCATATGATTAATTTTTGTATTTCTCCACAAATGTGTGAAGTTGGGTAAGTGTGGAAGAACAGTGCTATAAATTAGATTTTGTGGATTATTTCTATTTTCAACATTTTTGTACTGCACAATTTCAGAGTCAAAATTTTATGTATTTTAAGACAGAAGGGAGAAAACTGTGCTTATAGCATAATATTGAAATTAATGCTAACTATAATTTTCATATTTTTAATATTTAGTAAAATAACACACCTGATTTTTCTTGTTTTTTGTATCACCCAAACATTAAATCTTATATGTTAAATATGCTAAAATTTTACCAAGAGGATAAAGGAAACAGACAAACAAAAACCTCTTAATGCTTTTTGGAAAGAAAAATAAAAAGTAAAATAAAATTAGAAAGAAAAGAAAAATAAAAGTATTATTCTTCAGCGTTCCAGGCCTTGGCAAAGTTCGAATCAGAAAACACAAGGTCTGGCACAATCCCCTCTTTATTTTGTCCAACAGTTGGAGCAGTTTATCTACAAGTATTATGCAACAACCCTGTTTATGCTCAGAGATACGTTCCATTCTTTATTTGCTCTTCTACTTTTGGTATTTATTTACATTTGCTTGTCCCTAATCTGTTAGGCTACTCTTTGAGCAACTTGATTTTAACTGTCACCATAAACAAAAACTGTTCCTGTATAAATATTACTTGAGAAAGATGTTTACTTTAAATAGAAAAGAGAAGGTAATTCCAATTTAAGTATACTGTTTTGTTTTAAGATGCAACTATTTACCAGAACAGAATGGGAAGGGGTGAAAATAGTGCCTTTCGTTCATCATGTAGTCACTTCAGTCATTCAGACAGTATGGGAAGACCTTGTCAGAATTGAAATTTTGTTTGTTTGTTTGTTTGTCTGAGACAGGGTCTCACTCTGTCACTTGGGCTGGAGTGCAGTGGGACAATCATGGCTCACTGCAGCCTTGACTTCCTGGTCTCAAGTGATCATCTCACCTCAGCCTCCTGAGCAGCTGGGACTACACGTGTGTGCCACCATGCCTGGCTAATTTTTATTTTTTGTAGAGACAGTGTCTCCCTTTATTGCCCAGGCTGGTCTTGAACTCCTGGGCTCAGGCAAACCTCCCACCTCAGCCTCTCAAAATGCTGGGATTACAGGTGTATGCCACTGAACCCAGCTGAGCTGAAGATTTTTGAAGTATGTTCTGCTTCCAAAACAGTAGTATAAAACAATAGTGCAATTTTTTTTGTATTGGGGTGGAGACATTTAACATGAGATCTACCCTTTTAACAAAATGTTAAGTGTACAATACAATATCCTTAACTATAAGCACTATGTTGAACAGCAGAACTCTAGGATTTATTCATGTTGCATAACTGAAACTTCGTTATCTGTTGGATAGCAACTCCCCATTTTCCCCTTCCTCACAGCCTCTGACAACTACCATTCTACTCTGCTTCTGTGAGTGTGACCATTTTATACATCTCATATAAGTGGAATCATGCATCTGTCACTGGCTTATTTCTTATAGTGAAATTTAAAGTATTTTTGTCTCCAGGTCTTATGGGTAACCTCTTTAAGAGGATATTTCCACTGCTATATCCTCCCTACTTCTGGTCTCTTTATCCCTCATATTCTATAGGAAGTAATCTTTCTTTGATCTAAGATATTGGAATATAGTTGCTACTTTAATCCCATATTATTTGTTCAAAACATTCTTCTTTATGAATCCTCATTAGCAACTGAATAGGCAGAATTGGAGCCTTCCAGTTGAGATAGTTAAAGAGAACCTTGTCTTCAAAAAAAATGTGTACAAACTTTAGGCAAGAGAAAAAATGAACACAGAAGTTGCTTTATATTTACAAAAAGCAATAATATTAGGAGAACACAGAATTTTCCACAGGTTAAAATATATTTTACTTATAACTTACCATTCACTTGTGTAAGCTTTAATTCTGGAGATGATAAATAATACTGATCACAGAGCATCCTTGAACACTCAAAGGCATCTGGAATAGAAGTTGTTTTTTATAACAATGAAATGAGTTTATGCCAAGTACAGTTCTCAAATAATCTTCAGTGTCTGTATTACCCTAATCTAAAATATTCACTAAGGTACAGGTTTATGTATATAAAAATATATTTTAATATTTTATTGAAGAAAAATTAAGACAGTGTTTGCATTGCAGTTTTAGCAATATGTGCACTTCAGAGACTAAATACAACATATAAAATATGGCATGTTAGTCACTTATATTTGGATTTTTAAATAATATTTTAGAGGAATGTTTATACTACTGACTCTCAAAAGCAAAGGACCTTGAAGATAACATTTATAAAATAAATGGAACACTCTGTGAATATAAATTCATTCACAGAGTCACCTCAATTATAGATATGTCAATCATATATTGTACATTTTCAATAAGGGAAGTGCAGAAATACAGAACATACCTTGGACCACTGCTACCACATCACAGTTAGGATCAATGCTTCCAATGTGGCTTGGGTTTCCTGTCTGTGAGTCACTAAATATAAGAACTGTTGAAAAATAAAAACAAAAAAAAATTGTTATAAAATTCAGGATAATGATTAGTACTATCACTGAGAATGTGACCCGCTGATTAGTGAGACATCTAGTTATAGTATGGCTTATATTCTACACCCATGTCTATATACCATGATCATGATGAGCTAACTTACTGTGCTGGTTCATCAGCATCCGAGTAGAAATACGGTTCATGTAAAATCGATCCAAGAAATATTGAAGATTTTGATTGGTGACTGGGTCAACTGTACAGGCATCTTTATACTCTATGATTCCTTGTGCCATTGTAGGGACTACATTATGGTGTCTATTTCGAACTTTGATGAGTGTATCTACAAAGCTAAGCCACAATATTTATGGTTAGTAAAAGTTCAAATACGTTTCATTCACTTATACTCCTAAGGTTACTTCACAGAAGGCTAAAGTTTTTTTTGCATTACCCATCTGAACAAATCAAATGATAAAACATTAGTCCTTTATTAGTAATCTCACTACAGATTCTTCCACTAGAGTAGAGGAGATAATTTCACAAACAGACTCATTTTGTTTCTAGCTTATATGTAAAACTATTAGCCTTATAACCAATGCATTCATCAGATGTATTCATTAAGTCTTCTCTTTATAAAATAATGATTAATATCTAATATCATCATTCTAGAGATGACTCTAGAATGCCATTGTGAAAAAACTTTCAAAATTTCTTGTCAGATTTAGAAAAGATCCTTATTTAGGTAGCTAGAAACTATCAGTTACTCTGAAAGAAAATGTTTAGTCTCCAATGACGCTGAAATGTATTAAAACTATGTAATGGTAAATCCTCCTACACATCTCATTATTGGAGTAAATTTATAGTAAAAATAGGTCTCCCTGGGGGATCAAAAATGAGTCCTCTACATTTCTTCACACTCAGCATCATTTTCAATGCCATATTTCTTCGCTTCTGAAAAACCAACAAGCCAAAACTTGTCATGTGTAAGAGGGTAGTGATTTATTATTCAGAGCTGAATTCCTTTAATTTAGGTCTAAAAATATCTTAGGAATCTATCTGGAAAGAACCAAAGTTTTAAACACTTATTCTAATGCATAGAGCTTACTCTGATAATGCTTTCTGGTCATCTGGGCTTTTCTCATGGAATTCCACCAAATCCATCAGGCTCTGTATATACCTGTAAAGAAACAGGTATGCTTTAAGTTTTAAAATTAATAGTCAGATACAAATGGCTGAAAATAGAATAGCTTTTTCAAATAATTTGAAAAGAGAAAGTAAGCATTATGTTCAAACTTAAAACTTTCCTCCAGAACATTTGGAAAATAATATAAATTTAAAATGCTATAACTTTTAATCCTTGACTTTCAAACTTAAAATTTAACGCAAAATGTTTCTTTAACTATTTCAGGTCAGTATTCAGTTTCCTGACTGTTTTGTTTGGCAAATATTTTCATTTCTTCTAGCAATAATACTTAGAAACAACTTTTTTTAAAGCTTTTTATTTTTTTTCTACTACATTCATTCATAGAAGAGTGTAAGTCTTGACTGCAATAGTAAATACTACAGATTGAATATATGTTTTAGATTGTAATTGTCTTATAGGTATATAATACATGTATTTCTTGAATCAATGAACAAAAGGCTGTGCAGTCAGTGGATTAAGATAAGGGTCTCATGCATGTCTGCTACCTGTGCATATCCTGCTTCTGTGACCCAAAAATTTGCTGTTTTGGGTTACCTACCTTCTCTAAGCATCAGTATCTTCATTTATAAAATGAGATGACAACAACTGACACTTACTGACTGCTGGCTGTGTGCCAAGTGCTGTCCTAAGTGGTTTTTTTTTTCTTTTTTATGGATTATCTCATTTCATTACACTCAAACATCCCTCTGAGGCATATACTTTAATCTCTTTAATAACAGATGGGAATAATAACTCAATGGCATAAAGAGTTTAAGACACTTGCCAAGGATTCCACAACTAGAAGTGACAGAGGCAGGATTTGAACCCAGAGCCCACTCTGTCAATCACTTTGTAAGTTACAAAGATTAGGCCTTCCCTAAATAGCAGTCATGTGAATTGGTTTCTAGGCATAGGATTTCTTTTGCAATATCAAACTCTTTTATTATTGAAAGTGCTCTTCTATAATTGAAAATTAAAATTGCATGCCAATTTTTTTCAAATTTTTCCTAGAACTCAAAATTTTATTATAAAGTAATCTACTTTTTCAGGGTAAAAATGTCTGTTTATAGTTTTATAACTTCTCTAATGATAACTTACCCTAAATTAATTTTAAAATTCTTACATCTTTCAAAAGTAGTTACCATTCAGATCACCTGTTTTCCAATTATGATGTTAACATAGTATAAGAATTCATACCCGGGTAACTGTTTCAAAACTAGAGACTTCAATATGGTTCACCACTTACCAGCTTTTAACCAATTGCACTGAAGAGGTATTTACTAATTGGGTCGGGAGGATATCAATTTCCTTCAGAATGTTGGCGAGTCTCACAGGCAATTCTTGTCGCAAAAATGCAAAAGAAGTTCTTTCACATGCATTTTCTGAACCTATAATAAATGAAATCAATTTAGTTTTGAGAAAAAGTGTGTCTAAATGATATATCTAAATAGCATTAACTATCAAATATTGAACACACATATATTATAAAATTATATTTCACTCTCAGTTGGGTTACTGTTAATCGATAATTCAGGGGCGATTGTCTCCTTAATTGACTAATTCCCTTCGTCCTTTCGTCTTTCCTTCTTTCTTTTAAAAAGTGACAGATATAGGAGAATTATTGTCTTCTCTTTTTGAAGAGGATTCACTTCCAAGAAGTAAGAATATCCCACAGTTCTTAGAATTTATAAAAGACTGCAGGATTCGGTCACACCACAATGTCAACAACACAACATCCTTTAATGAGTGGGGACATGGAATTGGAGTTGGGGGATAAGAGGCTGGAGGGGGAGCTGTGATATTTCCAGAGTAGTGATATCACATTTAAACCCTTGAAATCTTCCTTATAAGATTACTGCAACAAATGTGTAAATATTTTCAGCAACAATGCAAATATATGGAAAACTATAATGATAAAGAGACAAAGAAATCTGTCAGGAATGCAGAGAGATGTACCCTGTGGAAGGATGCCAGGTGGCTAAGGAATAAAATCTGTTAATTTGAGGCTATTTAATACTATTCAGAAACTTCTCCAAGCAGTACTATGCTGTGAAGGAGAGGATAAAGTTTCCAGTCCATTGTTAAACGGTGACCGAAAGCAAAAAGTATTTTGACTGGAAGAGCGGGTCAGAAAGAAGAGTGTGCAGATGAAGTCAAACCATCCAGCGTCGGCAGGCTTGCAGGTGGCCTTGACCTGGAGGCACCCCTGTCAGAAAGTAACCAAATCTAGGAAAAGGAAAGGTGTGCTGGCGTCGAGGCTCCAGGGCTCAGCAGCAAAGTGAACCCCAGTTGTTTTAGCTTGAGCCTAGCCCTCCCTCTACCAAGGCTGAAAGTTAAGGCAGTTCCCCAACCCTAGGACCCAGCTTGGGCCCTGTGTCCCCTCTCACCAAAGTCCAGTAGCTGCTTCATGGACAGCGGGGACGGGCTGTAGCGCGAGAAATGCTCCACCTCTCGGGGCACCAGGCCGGCGCCGTTGAGCGAGCCAGCGCTGCGCAGCACGAAGCGGGCCGCCTTCATCTTGACGCCCACCCGGCCTGGCGGGGACTGTGGCTGGCTTGAGGGGCGAAGGCTGCTCGGAGCAGAGCCTGGTTCCGAGGGGGCGCGGCGCGTCCGGGCGAGGACTGCAGGTGCGCTGGCTGGCTTGTGCGCCCCGGCCTGGGCTGGGGTTTGAGGGTGCCGCGGAGTGAAGAGTCTGGGCAGAGTCGGAGATGCAGTGGTTCGAGATTCAAGTTCAAGTCTTCCCACCAGCCGCCGCCGCCCGAGGTTTTATTTGTCTCCCCGCACTCTCCCCCCGAGTCCCAAACAGGAGGAGTCACTGGAACTTGGAAACGCGTCCTGAACTCCAGGTCGCGCCAATCAGATCAGAGAAAGAACTATGGGCTCCGCCCCTCCAGCCGCGGTCATCACAGAATGGCCTGGCACGGTGACCACGGAGTGCCCTGGCACCGGTGCCCGCGGCTGTGACGGAAAAAGGGTGGGAAGAACAGGGAAGAGGAAGCAGAAACAGGTATCTGGGGCAACGTGGGCTTAAGATTAGCCTCTTGGGACGGGGCTCCGAGTCGCGTGGGCTGGGGTCCCGCCCAGGCTCGCCCTTGTTTACAACTCGGAGGCTGTCTCAATGTCAAGTACTCCTGGCCACAAACTGTTTCCAAGAGTTTGGACTCCGCGTGCTCATTGGTCCTTGCTCAGAGCAGGGCTTTTACAGTAGCCAACAAGCTGCGTTCAAAAGTATGGGCTTCTCTGCCACTGGACAGAGAGAAAGGAATAAACAACCTAAAGACCTGCGCCCCCACCCCCACCGCCCCCTTTTCTTCAGAAGAGACCGGCACATGGCAGGAACTGTACGTTCCTTTTGCTGAGACTTGAGGGGCTGCCCAGATACATTTACTTTTTCCTGTGGTAATAAAAGGCCATCAATTCGTTCTTCTCCGGCAACACATTCTTTCCGTTAGGTTTAGTTCTGTTAATTAAAAACAAAATTAAAAAGGGATCAATTTGTCAGTTTGCCTTACCTTTTGCGGTGATCAGAGAATTTGTTCACTCTGCCCTGTACGAAATGTCCTTACTCCAAATCTTTACCTAAGACATTCCATTCTACCCTCAAATGTCTGGCACAAGCTGTCTGCTGCAAAAGGTCTTCCTTGATTACTTCTCCTCACTTCTTCCAAATAAGGCCTTGGTCTTTCATGGTACTATTCTATAGCTATTTATGTTTTTATATTATCCCTCTCTGACTCCCCCCTTTCCTGAAAGAGATCAGGGTAGGGACCCTGTCTGATGCAGCTTTGTGATTCCTACTTTTTCACTACTCAATATTTATTAAATTAATGACAGTGGTTGAGACACATTACCCTGTCATACTAACCTCCTTTTCCTCTCCCGACACTCTAAAAGGACTAGGGAATGAAGCCACCGTGTTTGGGAAAGTTGGGAGTAAGAGAGTTGGTTACAAATGTAATAGAATGGGAATTTATGAGGTGTTAAAAATGATAGTTTGTTATAAAAAACCTTTTTGGCCTCCTCCCCCTGCGTTTATTTTATTTTAATTAATTAATTAATTACTTTATTTATTGAGACAGAGTCACACTGTCTCCCAGGCTGGAGTGCAGTGGTGCCATCTCGGCTCACTGCAACCTCGGCCTCCCAGGTTCAAGCGATTCTGCTGCCTCAGTCTTCTGAGTAGCTGGGATCACAGGCACACGCCACCACACTCAGCTAATTTTTTCTATTTTTGGTGAAGATGGGGTTTCTCCATGTTGGCCAGGCTGGTCTCAAACTCCTGACCTCAAGTGATCCACCCACCTCGGTCTCCCATAGTGCTGGGATTACAGGAGTGAGCCATTGCGCCCAGCCTGCCCTGCATTTATAAGCAGAACGGGCAACTCTGAAAGTCATGAGTGATCCTAGGCTCTGCTGTCATCCTTTGCCCTCTTCGTCTAGGAGACTGCATTAAATCACAGGACAGATTTCCAATTCTATCTCTAGCACAAACTTTCTTCCAAGAGCCAGATTCTCCTATTCAATTGCCTATTTGGTTTCTCCATTTGGATGTCTAATAGGTATCAATTTTGCTTCTCTAAAATCAACACCATTATGAGGGATCTGAAACAGTCCTGGCAAACCCTGTGTCAGTTATGTGGCCTGTTTGGAGGCACCATATTAGCTCTCCTACTATTTCTCCCATTGTCTATACATTACCTATAGATGGTCGAGAATTTGAGACTTCCTGTTATGACCAAATATTTTTTTCAGACCTTTGAGAAACAGCTATGTGAAGACATGCAATATTTATGATCTTCCAATGAAGAGGATGGGGCCTGGGTTCTTAGAGAATATTCAAGGATGATCCAAGTATAGACTCTAGCAGTTGCACTTGAGTGGGACAGAAAAACAAAAAAACCAAAAACACAACAGCTCAAGCACTTATCTTAAGCTGAAACAGCTGTGGGAATATGGGCAAGTTCCAAATTGCATCTCCACTTGTAGACAGGTTTTGATGCCACTATTATTTATATTTTTGTACTTGGAATCCTTTATTAAATATTTGCATAGCTTGATGCAGCAACGAAATGTGTTCAAGTAGCCAAAAAACTGAATAAGACTCTCTTTGATGAAGCAAGTAAATTTAAGGTAAAAATCCCTTCTTTTTCTTAGATTGGGTCTTAAGAACATAAGTAAAAGTAAAGCATGCATTTGCTTTTCTCACTGTATATGGAACCTGGAATAAGCAAAAATATATATTACAAAGAATTATACTCTGATTTTCAGAGGAAAGGCAATGGAAATTATGCATTACAGGCAAGTCTAATTTAGGAAAGTCCCATGTCCCTAAGTACATTGATTGCCCAGCCTAGCTTACCCAGCACTACTATTCTATGTGCTGTGGGCTGATTAAAGATCAGGTGAAATCATATGATGTTCACAGAGATGACCTAGGGCTAAATGTGAACTGAGGTTGCCAAAATTTTGTCTCTATGTCATCCCTTCTAATAATATTTATGAAGTTACTCTCACAGTGCATTGCATTCTTCTGTGTCATTTCTGTATGATGGGAACTGTTATTATAATTGGCAGCATTCATGATAGCTGGCCTAGAAAGGTCAGGTCAAGTTGTTTACCCAGTTGGCTAAGATGCTATGTATTACCATGATTAGAGAGTGACCTGGGAAAAGAGTGGCACTTCTCTTCTCAGGTTGAACACAAATCTTGGAGGTGATCCAGTTGGGACAGAGGTGAAGCAAAAATATTATTTGGGGGCAATGGATATGACAAATCCATGCATTCATTTGAGTAAAAGTAAACCATGAGAAGACTATTAAATGACTAATGCTAAGGAATAGAAGAAGTAATCAAAGCTGTTCCCTTGCATACAATGCTGAACATCCCTGCTTGAGATACCTGGTTCCTAAAATTTTCAGTGGCACCTTACCTAGCATTAAATAAGTTCTGTCCAGCTTGCCTGGAAAAAATCTAATAACAAAAGGCCACGGGTAGAACTTTGAGAATGCAAGTCACACTTTTTCCAGAGGGTGGGGGATGGCCAATTTGATAAAATCCATCAGATCCCTTAAAGGGAAGTCTATACAATTTTTCCACCTCAGGATCGTATTCCAAGGAAGCAATTTAAAATGCCCGTAACAGGAACTCTGAAGACATGATGGAAAGATTAACAGACTTGACCATAGAATATTAAAGTTAAAATATGAACAGCAGACTTGGAGAACATATCTACAGAATACGTAATAGACAAATGATGATTTAAGAGATGGCTGTTTCAGTAGGGAACCATTCGGTCATGATCTATTCCCTCATGGAGATGATAGACTTGTGGGGGAAATTGGCATTACAAAAGCATATGGCCAATAAGCCTATACATTAAGATAGGACAAGGGCTAAGAAGAAAATGATTGTGAAGAGTGTAATAGGCTGGAACTACCTTAGATTTGGTGGTCAAGGAAGGTCTTCTTGAGTAAACGACAATTAAAAGAAATGGAATGAGCTTCTATTGGGGATGAGAGGGAATACTGGTGAAAGCATATTGGTGAAGCTACTGGGAAAAGCAGGATCTAACCCACAATTTGGTCTCTGATGTTTCTTATAGTTACTGTTAACCTAGAGGATACTAGGTGCCAGGAGCTGGACTGGGTGCCCTGATGGGTGCAAAAGCGTCTGCTCTCATGCACCTCAGATTATTAGCTGATGATGGAAAACAATAACTAATTATTTTTAATTTATTAGATTTTCATTTAATCCTCAGGGCAAAATGCTATAATTAAATGCATTTAAAAAGCAGCCCATAAGAAAGGTTCACGCCATGGGCAATGCTGGTTGTGGTGGTATTGGTGGTAGTAGTGATGGTGCCAGACAGTGGATATGTTAAGGGTGATCTGGGGTGTTTGGAGGAAGAGCTATGTTGGGGATCAGGAAATGCTACTAGAATTGGCATTTGGGATGGCTGTAGAAAGATGAGCAAGATTTTGGCAAATAATTGGTAGACAGTGGGGAAAAATGTCCAAGACTGAGTAAAAGCACAGATGTAGGAGCTAGAGATACATTGGAGAAATAATGACTAGTTTCACCTGGCTGCTGTCTAGAGTACCCTAAGGGCAGAAGGAAAGGAAGATTCAGTTATCTCATGAAAGCCTGAAATGCTAGTATGAGGTCTATGAGATTTCTAGAGTAAGCAGCAGGGAACTGTTGAAGCCTTTAAATCAGGGAGCAATGTGTTTTCTGTTTAAATTTGTTAGCAGTTAAATAATTCTACTAAACTTTATTGAACACCTACTATGTACTAGGCACTGTGATTAATGCTGAGGACATAAAGATGAAGAAGGCATAGTTTGTCTTCAAAGACGGGAGACAGACATGAAAATAATCTAAAAAATAGAATGTGGCATATATGGTATGTGTACTGGGGGGACAAGCAGCAGCCAGGGGAGGCTTCCTTGGAGGAAGTCATAGGTCATCTGACTTATAAAGGTGGAGCAGACATTCATAGGCAGACAAAGAAGAAAGGCATTGGAGCAGTGAGGAGAGGGAACGAAAAGAGCCATCTGTTGGTAGTATCTCTAGGCTTTGTCAAATCTGTTAATGAATAATTTTTTAAAGTTCTCTAATATTCTAAACCTGTGCTGCTGGGAGGAGGTGATTTTATTGATAGAAGCAGGGAAGTCAAAAGCGTCAGGAGAAAAGGATAGGTTGACTAAGGAAAGACCAGTAGTGCAAGTGACGGGTTTGTCTGGGAACACCTTGAGTTAATGAGAAACTGTAGGAGAGTCATGACTAATTACCGTGAAGGGAAGATGAGAACTCAAAGGCTAATAAGCCTTTGCTGAGAAGTGAAGATAGATGGGTGAGATTCTGTCCCCAGTTTCTTTATACAAGGCTCCCCTCTCCTATCAGCCTACAGCTATATCTTACCTTTTTTCTGTGCACAATATTCCTTCTGGGGCAGCTCTTTGTTTCATTCTTGGCCTCCTTTTACTTATCAAGGCCAAAATCTTTTCCCTACATCATAGCAAATGGGTTCATTCTTCTTTTTGCACTTGCGGCTCCAGTCTTATCTGGAAAGAAAAGGAAGCAAATCCTGAAGCTAGCACATCTTGACTTTTTGTGGAAAGAGAAGAATTTTGCATCAGTTTCAAATATAGGTTAAGCATTCTTTTTCCCCCTGCAAGGAATTTCTCAATTGTGTTTGACGTTTGCTTTTATAAAATAGTAAGGAAAGGTGAATAAAGGAAATGAAAAAATAACCGAAGAAGGAAAACAAATGTGTACTATGCCTATAAAAGCATGCTCAAACTAATGAGTGAATGGGAAAATAAAAAGTAAAAAGATAATAAGCCACGATTGTTCTAACAGTAGACTGGCAAATAAAGAAAAGATTGCTAATATCTCCTTGGCAAGGCCTGGGGAAATGAACACTCTCCTATATTATTTGTGGGGGTGAAATTGGCAAATTTTTGTTGGAAGGCAATTGGCAGAATCTATAGAAATTTTAAAGATAGCTACCCCATGTCTCAGCCATTTCACTTCTGGCAACTTATCCTACACTTTTACTGACAGAGAGAATAAAGATAGATGTACAAGATTGTTCATTGTAGCATTACCTGTAAAAACAAAAATTGAAAAGTAACTTGTTTAGCCAATAATCCATAGTGTAAATAAATGATACACCCATGCACTACACTATGCAGCTGATATAATGAATGACATAGATTTTTGTAGCAGCTTTGAGGTCTGCCCTGAGATTTCTTTTAAGGAAGTGCTTGCCGTTAGTTGCAAGGAATGAAATTAGCTAACAGCCTTCAGCTACAGAAACTTTGGGATCCAGACAGCATTTGAGCTGACGCCACGCCCTTCTCAGGCAGCCCCCACAGTGAAGGAGGAGGATCTAGAAGGGCCTGGCCATTTTTCCTCAATGTAGGATCCCTCTGATGGGAATTCTTTGTCTGGAGACCCGAGCTGAGACTTTGTCAGATTGGCATCTCTGTCCCTGCTCAATGCTGCTTTCCATGCTCCCTTTTCTATCACAGACATCATAGCCTGAAATCTTTCCACACCCAATACTGCTTCCTATACCCCTTAGCCTTTCCTGATCTCATTGAGGTTACCATTTTACTTTCCTTCGTTCTTCTTATGTCTTTTCTTCCCCTCTTATCCAGCATGGACTCCATGAACCAACATTATAATTAGGCTCTTGGGAAAACCCTTAATTCTCTCTCTCTCTGTTACATTCACTTGGCAAATCTAATTAAAACTACTCTAGTTAAACCCACTAAGCCTTAGTTAAAACCATTCTAAATATATGGCCTGATGCGGTGGCTCATGCCTGTAATCCCAGCACTTTGGGAGGCCGAGAAAGGTGTATCACGAGGTCAAGAGTTCAAGACCAGCATGGCCAAGATGGTGAAACTCCGTCTCTACTAAAAATACACAAATTAGCTGGGCGTGGTGGCACCCGCCTATAATCCCAGCTACTCGGGAGGCTGAGGCAGAGAATTGCTTAAACCCAGGGGGCAGAGGTTGCAGTGAGCCAAGATCACACCGCTGCACTCCAGCCTGGGTGACAGAGCGAGACTCTGTCTAAAAAAAAAAAAAAAAATTCTACATATAGAGAGTGGTTACAAATTTCAATCCATAAGTGTCAAGTGTACATGTGTTGATATTTTCTTTTCTTTTGATTTCCTGTAAGTCAGTATAATGTCTATTAAAGGCCTTTTGGTTAATGTGGGATTTTACTGTTCTTTTCCCCTGGAGTGGCATCTATTTTCCCAGGAGTGTATATAGGCCCAAGTTATCAGGGAAAGTAGACAAGTAGCCATGCTAGCTTCCATCGAGATGATTCCTATCAAATCTAGTCCTAGATTATTGGTTCGTGCAGATTGCCACTCCATCAGGTCTCATTCCCATCCAAAAGACCCATTTGCGCCTGGCTCTCTTTGTGGCCTCTGGTTATTCTTGGATCCAAGGACAGCATTCCATTTTTCTGTACCTGAAATATACTGAACCATAGTCTCATACCCCATCTACCTTAGTGCCCCCTCTGTTGGGACTGTAATACATTGGACTACAGGAAACTCTACAAGGCTGTCACAGGCCTGTCTGCCTAAATCCTTCATGAGGCCATTTCTATTCCTGCTATTTTCTAAGGTCTTGGCATAGGGAATGAGTCTCAAAAGTGTAGTCCTTGAGGGGATTTGTAGCATAGTGAAACTACAATAAATCACATCAGGTTTCTCACTATTGCCTCTTGAACTAGAAGAGACTCTCTTGTTATAGGGGTGCAGAAGAGAATAAAAACTGGAGGAGACTTGACAGTAGCCCAGATGAGCCCCAAAAGGGGGTTAGTGGGTGCATCACAGAAACCATATACAGGTTTTGTGGATCTGAGAAAAAGGAAAACCTACATCTCAATTCCTCAGTAAAGCAGATTTCTCAAAACTTGTATAAGTATTTTTGGCTCCTTCTGTGAGTCATGGTCCAGTTGCCCAAATTGGGGAGAGGATCTTGAGATTATTAGAAATATTGGTGGAAAACACACGTGGTTAATATTTTAAATATTATATGCACAAACATATATACAAATCTATGCATAAGGAAAATGTATCAGATTATCCATAGTGGTTAATTTTGGGCAATGGAATTACCAGTATTTATATTTGCATTTGAAATGAGTTTTCAAATGATAAGCCATGAAATATGTGTTACTTCTTAATTGTAAAGAAAATAAATGTTATTCCAAAAGTTGAAATGAAAATAGATGTAGCAAGAGAACAGACAGAGGAAGTTGCCAAATATCTGTCCAAAATAGGCTTTTCACTGACTTGGAAGGCAAAATTGGGACCAGGAAATGGGTCAGCAGCCCTCCTGCCTTCTATTTCTTTTTTTATTTTTTTTAATGATACTTTAAGTTCTAGGGTACATGTGCACAATGTGCAGGTTTGTTACATATGTATACATGTGCCATGTTGGTGTGCCGCACCCATTAACTCGTCATTTACATTAGGTATTTCTCCTAATGCTATCCCTTCCCCCTCCTCCCAACCCACGACAAGCCCTGGTGTGTGATGTTCTCCACCCTGTGTCCAAGTGTTCTCATTGTTCACTTCCCAACTATGAGCAAGAACATGCGGTGTTTGGTTTTCTGTCCTTGCAATAGTTTGCTCAGAATGATGGTTTCCGGCTTCATCCATGTCCCTACAAAGGAAATGAACTCATCCTTTTTTATGGCTGCATAGTATTCCATGGTGTATATGTGCCACATTTTCTTAATCCAGTCTATCATTGATGGACATTTGGGTTGGTTCCAAGTCTTTGCTACTGTGAATAGTGCCTCAATAAACATGTGTGCATGTGTCTTTATAGTAGCATGATTCATAATCCTTTGGGTATATACCCAGTAATGGGATGGCTGGGTCAAGTGGTATTTCTAGTTCTAGATCCTTGAGGAATTGCTGAGAAGTGACAGTATGCTGGCAGCCCTCACTTGCTCTCAGTGCTTCCTCGGCCTGGGCGCCCACTCTGGCCGTGCTTGAGAAGCCCTTCAGCCTGCTGCTGCACTATGGGAGCCCCTCTCTGGGCTGGCCGAGGTCGGAGCCAGCTCCCTCTGCTTGCAGGGAGGTGTGGAGGGAGAGGCACAGGCGGGAACCGGGGCTGCACGCAACTCTCATGGGCCAGCATGAGTTCTGAGTGGACGTGGGCACGGTGGGCCCCGCACTCGGAGCAGCCGGCTCGTGCTGCCAGCCCCGGGCAGTGAGGGGCTTAGCACCTAGGCCAGCAGCTGCAGAAGGTGCGCTGGGTCCCCTGACAAGCGCCACCCCCTGCTCCACAGCACCCGGTCCCATCGACCGCCCAAGGACTGAGGAGTGTGGGCACATGGCGTGGGACTGGCAGGCAGCTCTGACTGCAGCCCCCATGTGGGATCCACTAGGTGAAGCCAGCTGGGCTCCTGAGTCTAGTGGGGACTTGGAGAACCTTTATGTCTAGCTAAGGGATTGTAGATACACCAATCAGCACTCTGTGTATAGCTCAAGGTTTGTGAATGCACCAATCAGCACTCTGTATCTGGCTAATCTGGTGGGGATTTGGAGAACCCTTATGTCTAGATAACGGATTGTAAATACACCAATCAGCACCCTGTGTCTAGCTCAAGGTTTGTAAATGCACCAATCAGTGTTCTGTGTCTAGCTAATCTAGTGGGGACTTGGAGAACTTCTGTGTCTAGCTCAGAGATTGTAAATGCACCAATCAGCACCCTGTCAAAACGGACCAATCAGCTCTCTGTAAAATGGATCAATCAGCAGGATGTGGGTGGAGCCAGATAAGGGAATAAAAGCAGGCTGCCTGAGCTGGCAGTGGCAACCTGTTCGTGGAAGCTTTGTTCTTTTGCTCTTTGCAATAAATCTTGCTGCTGCTCACTCTTTGGGTCCGCACTGCCTTTATGAGCTGTAATACTCACCGCGAAGGTCTGCAGGTTCACTCCTGAGGCCAGCGAGACCACGAACCCAGAGAGAGGAATGAACAACTCCAGACAGGAGGAACGAACAACTCCAGAAGCGCCGCCTTAAGAGCTGTAACACTCACCGCGAAGGTCTGCAGCTTCACTCCTGAAGCCAGCGAGACCACGAACCCACCAGAAGGAAGAAACTCCAAACATGTCCGAACATCAGAAGGAACAAACTCCAGACACATCACCTTTATGAACTGTAACACTCACCGCAAGGGTCTGCGGCTTCGTTCTTTAAGTCAGTGAGACAAAGAACCCACCAATTCCAGACACATCGCCATACTGTTTTCCACAATGGTTAAACTAGTTTACACTCCCACCAAAAGTGTAAAAGTGTTCCTATTTCTCCACATCCTCTCCAGCACCTGTCATTTCCTTACTTCTTAATGATTGCCATTCTAACTGGTGTGAGATGGTATCTCATTGTGGTTTTGATTTGCATTTCTCTGATGGCCAGTGATGGTGAGCATTTTTTCATGTGTCTGTTGGCTGCATAAATGTCTCCTTTTGAGAAGTGTCTGTTCATATCCTTTGCCCACTTTTTGATGGGGTTGTTTGATTTTTTTCTTGTAAATTTGTTTAAGTTCTTTGTAGATTCTGCATATTAGCCCTTTGTCAGATGGGTAGATTGCAAAAATTTCCCCCTATTCTGTAGGTTATCTGTTCACTCTGATGGTAGAGAAGACCTTAAATGACCTGATGGAGCTGAAAACCATGGCGAGAACTTCCTGCCTTCGATTTCTCACAAGCTCGGGCATACCACGAGGCTTGGAGACTCAAAACCTGAAGAGCCTGCAATCAGATTTCTCCCTTACTATTCCTGCTCATTGTCTTCTGTGGACTAATACTGAACATGAAACTTTGCTTACAGTTTTGTGGCCTGTTCCTTTCCTCTGATTGCTGATCATTGCATGAATTTCCTGAGATTATCACTGAATAGGACCTTTCTTTTTCCTGTATCCTCTACTACACACACTGAGTTCAAATAGAATTATTTTACTTGGAAAACTCCAGGTTTTGCTAAGTTCCAGCCTTGGTTTGTGTAGCACTGGTTGGCTGCCTTAGACTAATTTTTTGGGGGTGTCAGATAGTAAAAGGAGCACAATCAAGCACCAGGTCATCTGAAAGACAAATTTTAGACGTCACTTTCTTTTGTGATTTTGTTGCTTAACCCAGTGCAGGGGCAGTCAAAGCTGTATCACCATTGCATTCACTGTCTAGGTAAAAATGGGAAAATTCAGTCAGTTATACTAATATTCCTTACTACTTGCAATTTATGTTCACTGGCCTATTGGTATGAGCAATGCATTGTACATTACATATTTGGCAGTAAAAGGACAGATACCCAGATGTCATACTAAAATTTCTGCATTTGTTTGAAAATACTAGTTTAAGCAATTACATGTTATGCAAGTGGTTAGTCCTTCCCTCTCCAGCTTGGCTGCCACCAGTAATAATGGATCATAACATCTTCTCCTGTGTGATCTGATGCGGCCTTGGGATTCGTCCCAACGCAGGACTCCAGAGATCAGTGGATCAGTGAATTATGTTTGGGAGATGCAACCCCTGTTGTTACTGGGCTGGGGGCCCAAGCAGCTGCTGGTGGGGTGTTCTGCCCTGCAGCAGCACCCTACCTCCACCCTCCCCTTTACATTTAGAAGAACTGTCCTTTAGTGAGACTGTCAATGGAAAACATGAAAATCATTCATTTAATCCAACATTTTCAATCGCAGAGGAAAAACAAGCAGAAGAGTTAAGTCACCAGAGTCATACAGCTGGTAGGAAAAATGGGTTCTCTAAATCTCAGTTTAAACAGAAATCCTTGTCACACTCTTCTGGGGATTGAGAAGCGTAAGATTTTTTTTTTTTTTTTTAATTGCCTTTCTGAAACTTTAGAAGAATACCTATTTGCCCTGTTGGCCAAAACCAGGCAACTGTGTGAAACAGTTGAATGCTAAAACAAACTAAACAGATGCTGGAAACTCAACCGTTTGTTTCTTGAACAAAATTGATTTTACCTGATGTCCTCTTGAGCTCAGTTAGACTTTGCCAGAGAGAAAACGAGACTGTCTGCAACTTTAACAATAATCACACAGACACATACTTCTTTCCCCCTTTAGTTTCCCATTTTGAAAATAACTCGAGGGCCTGACAAATGCTGAGTTTGGGCAACATGGCTGTGTTCTTGATTGAGGAAAGCAGGCCTGCCTGACCGTGTTTCAACAGTCAGTGCAGAATCTCAAAAGGAAGTACAAATAGGAAGGGTTAAGGGTCCTCTTTTTTTGTTCTTTATTCCACCCGTTGCACACTAGGGTTCTCTCACTTCTTCTTTCAAATAGGCTTCTCAAAATGCACTGTGTATTGGAGCAAAGGGAGTGAGGGATTGTTTATTTTTATTTTTAAATAAGAAATGAAACCTATAAATTAATGCCCTAGGGAAAAAAGAAAGTTACTTTCTGCTATGCACAATTTTTACCAACATTGTGTTGGAAGGAAGAAGCAGCTGGCCTGCGGAAGCTAAGCAGATGCTGGGGCTCTCTCGAGCAGGCTAAGTTGGTGAAAGGTCAGTCCCACACCCACAGCCTGGGCGGGACTGCCTGGCTGCAGAGTCAACAAGGGGAAGTTTAGTAGGTGAAGGGTCACTGCTGCCGAGCAGCAATAACTTTCCATGCCTCAGCTCCCAGGCATCTAGTTTCTGTTCATGGAAATAGAGCTCACTAGGGGAAAGGTCGGGGAGACCAAGGCGTCTCTATCATAGCCCTGATCTGACACTGTGTTCTTGCATGAGGCTCAGCTACTCACTGTGTTCTTGCGTGAGTCTCCTGGCTGTTAGGAATTCTGCTGCTCAAGTGGAAAAAACAGATTGCAAAGTACTTCATAGATCACCCTGTACTGAGTATGGCAAACTGATCAACAGCCTACTTACTGCTACATTTATATTATTTAAAATAACTGCCAGGTGAGATTCTTTTCAAAAGTGTATTTCAATAAAGAAACCTGTAGGTTTTCTTATCAATTGCTCTAGAGCAATGATTCCTAATCTTCAGGTAGTTTAATTTGCAACATTGCTGTGAAATCTTTAAAACATGGTGTTTGAAATGACTCCAGGTCAGCAGAGAACTTCTCCATGTTCTAGACAAGTGCTTTTTAGATTGTGGGTTGTAACTAATTAGTGGATCATGAAATCAGTTTAATGAGTCACGAACAGCATTAAAATGAAATAGAATCAAGGGAAAAAAGCATCTTTGTGGTAAGGGCAGTTTTTTTTTTTTTTTTTTTTTTGGTGTCAAATTTTTGTTTCAGGTCTATCTGAATGATGATGTAAGAAGACCACTGTTCTAGATTTTAAGAACAAAAGCTTTGCTGCCTTGAACCCCCAAATAATTGCTCAAATTCAAACTGGTTGTTAGCTTTTTTAAAAGCTCAGCTGATTCCGCAGGATGTTGTGGCTGTGAACTGGGAAGCCTGCCATGCTATTATTTTGAAAAGTGCTGTGCAAACAGTGTTCCTCTCAGATGGTTTCCAGAGTTAGTTCCTTACAAGCATTTCCTCTTGAAACATCGGGAATCTAAATAAAGGTAAATAAATTCCATTTACCAACCCCCAAAGGTAAATTAATTCAAGCAAGAAAGACTTTGGTTGCTCACAAGGCTGGATGAAAACGTGTTTGGTGTAAACTTCATTCAAAGAAAACTGAGCTAGCTAAGAAGGAGCTGTGATAGCCTCTCTTAACTTTGGGATTATGGGGTGGTAAACAGGCTGTCATGAAAATGTCTAGAATCAGCTAGATGGTAGGATTTGTGCTCTGAGAGGATGGGGCATTCCCACTGGAGCAGCTGAGCAACAGCATAGAGGACCATTAAGTTATTATAAGAGAAAGAACCCAGAAATTGTATGGAGAGGACAGTAATGGTGCATGGCTTTAATTTTTGGATGGCCTATTTTTCCCTGTCCTTTCTTCTTCTTTCTTATTTTTCTTTTGATTTTCTTTTAAGTGAGTGCTTCTGAGTTATGCTAATCCTTCCTTGGCTGCTAACGGATATGGTATTTCAGGATGCAATTGGAAAATCTATACCCTACATCAATTTGAAAGGAGATAGGAGGCCATAGAAATATTAGACATATTTAGGACGTCTCTGAATGACTGAGATTTCTACATTTTATCTCAATATTTTGACACAGCCTTTAAGGAAACTCATATTTTTCTTTTGCCTCTACATTGAGGAAGAATAATTAATATAATGTACTCTATCTTTCAGAGAAAGGTGTCTAATGGTCTAGTCTACCAACTTCACTATGCTGATTTATGAAAGAATTGCTGAAACCCAGTGAATAATAGCATTTGCCCTTCTTTCTCAAAAAAGCAGCATTTGCTTTCTTCTGGCAAGGAATAATTAAGCTAATTTCTCCATGAACCTTGGAAAAAGTGGCAACGAATAATGGATTTGTCCCTCAAAGAACATTTCAAGCAAACATCTTATCAGCTACAAATTCATTTGAGGCAGTTCCAGGTCAGCCACAGGCAATTTTTCTCATTAAAATACTGTTTAAACTGTTGTATCCAGATGACACAGGAGACATATCAGACAAACAACACCTGCAAGAAGAATTGGTGAAGTATTGACTTTTCATCAATCAAAAAGTTTACTAAGCAGATGAAAATAATTTGCCTTCACAGTGACATTTTCCTGACGTCTTGCTAGTACTTAAAGGCATTGTTTTTTCTTTAACACCCAAACTTTAATTACCAGAAAAGGTTAGCATCAAAACAAAGGACATGTTGGTAATTTAGAGGCCATATCAGAAAAATAAATTCATTTTGGTTTGAATGAATTTTTTGTCTTGTCTCCTTCTCCCCCTTTGGCCACATCCCCCTCCCCCACATGACCACGCTTTCCTGTGTTCATGGTCATTCTGTTAACAATGTATAGATTTGGAGATTTCTTTCTAGTTTTATAAGTTTTTCTAAGTTTTATACGTCTTATCACTAAGTGCAACTATTCAGTTTAAAAAAAGAAGGAGTATTTTGTAGCAGAGAAGTATGAGTTGAGGACGTAGGAATCCTGTTTTACATTTCTTTTGCTATTTACTCACTGAAAGCCCTTGGGGGAAAATTATTTCATCTCCCTACATCTCAGCTTCCATACTGACAAAAATTTTATTGTTCTAGATGACCTCTAGGGTGCATTCCACTTTTCAAATCTCCTTGGTTGCTCATTATTGATTTTAAAATTCTCACAGAATGAGTCTGAATAATTGTTGCATTTCCCTTATTGAGGAAGTATCTTTGATTAGAGTTCATTTAGCATAAACTCCTTCTCCAAGTGGGACATCCTTACAGCATCCCAAACCAACAACCCTCTCATTGCTGCTGGGATACTTCAGTTGGCACAGTGCTCCCTGACTAGTAAGGAACTTTATTTCCTCCTGGTGCAGAAAGAATTGTTATTATTTCTTTATGCTAAAACATTGACTTCACTCTGCCTGTCTCATTTTTTTCTAGTTCTGCTCTCTGGAAGAACTTGAATTTAACCCCTTGTAGTTTCTTCATCTAACATTCAGTAATTTTGGCTATCTCATAGCCAAACTTCTAGCTTCCAAGTTGTGCCTTGATTTCCTTTTGGGAACACCCCTGTTGTGTTTTGTCTTGGAAGAGGAAGTGTTTACCTCCCATAAAAGACACTGGGATCTCTCTTTTCTTCATTCCCTCCTATAGCCAGGGCCAGACACCCGACCTGATCCAACTCCTTGATCAGATTTGAATTTTAAGTGAGTGCTGCAACTGCAAGAACCTGAGGGCAGGTCTGGTCATTCATCACTAGTGACATTGGAGGAAGGTAGTGGTGGGGACCATACGGCTCCTGTTTGTGGCCCTGCTGGGCTTCTGCCTGCCCTGTCTCAGAGTTCCCTTCATCTTTGCTAAGCCTTATCCACCCGCCACTTGTGGATTTTGTGAATAAATTTCCCATTTGAATAAGATAGCTCTAGTTAGGTACAACCACAGCTTTAAAAAATAGGCCTAGAAGCTGGCAATTAAGATGCTTGAATTACATTCCATGAAATTTCTCCCACATATTTGGAGGCCAGTACCATTATGCCTGTGTATTCTTTTCTCCAAACTTTTCACCCACTTCCTTTAATATCATCCCCAGACCTTCCAGCATCTTGTAGATTTACAATGGTACTTAGCTACATTCTCTTTCTTCTCTGTTTTTGACATGATTCTCTTAATAGTGTAGACTAGAGTTGAACTGGCTTTTGATGCAGCAACATTATACTTTTGGTTGAGTTTATTGTCAACTAAAACTCCAATGCCTGGTTCTCCCTGTCCCTCAAAAAACATATACACTTAAGTAATTGATTTTTCAAGGCCAATAAAAGTTTTTTATATCTCATTAATCTTGCCTGTCCAGATATTAATGAATTCAAATTCATATTGACCAACTTTGTTTTCAAAACTAGTTTGCGTTATCTGAAAATTTGACAATTCCGTTTTTGCCATTTGAACAAGTTGTTTTTAAGGATAGAACAAACCATAGAAAACTGTTTCTGGAAGAAAATGTAATAGAATACCAGTTTTGTAAAATGCTGCTGAAAAAATAATACCATGCTCAAATACATGTGAAAAATGCTGCATACTAAATCAGCCTTTTTGAGACTTAAAATATACATTGATGATTAAAAACAAGTAGAATTGAGTTGGAAACTTCCCTCCAGATTGACATTCATAAACTAATTTAGAATTTCCCAAACTGTGTTCTACTAGGCACTCCTTGATGAAATAAGTAAGAAAGCTTGTCAAGAGCCATCACTCTTGCTCATGGGACAAGAGAAGGCACTGACCTGTGCCCACCAGCACCCCATCACTGAGCCAACACCACCTTCAGGAAGACAGTCTCCAGCAGGGCTTCCCCCAATTCCCCTAGCTGCTTTGCCTCTGCTACTCCGGTAAGCACCTGCAGGGAGGCAGGCACCCCAGCACCCACTAGCATTCTGCAACAGCTGTTGCACCTTGGCTCCCCCAGTACAGTGGATTCCAAACCTCAAGGAGTCAAAGAACAGATGGGGCCCAATACAAATTCCCCAGAATTACAACATGCCGTCCAGGAGTTGAGAGCTGAGTGTTGACCTTCTAAAATCTCCCAGAAACAAAGCCAGGTGGCTGAATCCACCTTATATTATAGTCAAACCCTCAAGGTCATCAAATCATCAAATAGGATAAAAGAAAAAAAAATCCAAAGGTCAGCAACATCCAAGATTGAAGACAGATAAGCTCACAAAGATGAGAAAGAGTCAGCACAGGAAAACTGAAAACTCGAAAAACCAGAGTGCCCTCTTTCCTACGAACAGCCACATCACCTCTCCAGCAAAGGTTCTGAACTGAGCTGAGATGGCCAAAATGACAGAAATAGAATTCAGAATATGGATAAGAATGAAGATCATTGAGCTACAGGAGTATGTTGAAACCCAATGCAAGGAAGTGAAAAATCATGATAAAACAATGCCAGAGCTGACAGACAATAATGGACAGTATAGAAAAGACTGTAACTGGCCTGATAGAGTCAAAAAATATAATACAAGAATTTCATAATGCAATCACAACTATTAATAGCAGAATATAACAAGTGGATGAATGAATCAGAGCTTAAAGAATGGCTTTCTGAAATAAGACAATCAGACAAGAATAGAGAAAAAAGAAAAAAAGGAAAGAACAAAAGCTCTTAGAAATAGACTCACTAAAGAGACTGAGTAAAGAGACCAAATCTAAAACTCACTTGTGTCCCTGAAGGAGATGGGGAGAATAGAACCAACTTGGAGACATATTTCAGGCTATTATCCATGAGAAATTCCCCAGCCTAGATTGAGAGGCCAACATTCAAATTCAGGAAATTCAGAGAACTCCAGTAAGATACTTCACAACAAAATGATCCACAAGACACATAATCATCAAATTCTTCAAGATTGAAGTGAAAGAAAAAATATTAAAGGCAGCAAGAGAGAAAGGTTAGTTACCTACAAAGGGAAGCCCATCAGACTAACAGTGGGCCTCTCAGCTGAAACCCTACAAGTCTGAAGAAATCAGAGGCCAACGTTCAACATTGTTAAGGAAAACAAATTCCATCCCAGAATTTCATATCCAGCCAAACTAAGCTTCATAAGCAAAGGAGAAATAAGATCATCTGTAGACAAGCAAATGCTGAGCAAATTTGGTACCACCAGACCTGCCCTGCAAAAGTTCCTGAAGGAAGCACCAACTATGGAAAGGAAAGACTATTACCAGCCACTATAAAAACACACTGAAGTACACAGGCCAGTGACACTATAAAGCATCCACACATACAAGTTTGCAAAATAACCCGCTAACACTATGATGACAGGATCAAATCCACAGATATCAATACTAACCTTGAATGTAAATGGACTAAATGCCCCCAAGTGAAAGACAGAGTGTGGCAAGCTGGATAAAGAACCAAGACCCATTGGTATGCTGTCTTCAAGACACCCATCTCATATGCAGTGACATATATAGGCTCAAAATAAAGAGATGAAGAAAAATCTACCAAGAAAATGGAAAACAAAAGAAAGCAGGGGTTGCAATCCCAGTTTCTGACAAAACAGACTTTAAACCAACAAACATCCAAAAAGACAAAAAAGGGCATTACATAATGGTAAATGGTTCAATTCAACAAGAAGATCTAACTATCCTAAATATATATGCACCCAACAGGAGCACCCAGATTAATAAAGCAAGGGTTTAGAGACCTTCAAAGAGCATTGTACCCCCACACAAAAATAGTGGGAGAATATAACACCTCACTGAAAATATTAAAGAGATTATCAAAACAGAAAATTAACAAAGATATTCAGTACCTGAACTAAGCATTGGATCAAATGGATCTAATAGATATCTACAGAACTCTCCATCCCAAAACAACATAATATACATTCTTCTCATTGCCACATGGCATATACTCTAAAGTTGATCACATAATCAGAAGTAAAACACTCCTCAGCAAATGCAAAAGAACTGAAATCATAACAATCTCTCAGACCACAGTGCAATCAAATTAGAAATCGAGACTAAGAAATTCACTCAAAACCATATAATTACATGGAAATTGAATAACCTACTCCTGAGTGACTTTTAGGTAAATAATGAAATTAAGGAAGAAATCAAGAAGTTCTTTGAAACTAATGAGAACAAATATACAACATACTAGAATCTCTGGGACACAGATAAGGCAGTGTTAAGAGGAAAATTTGTAGCACTAAATGCCCACATCAAAAAGTTAGAATGATCTCAAGTTAACAACCTAACATCACAACTAAAAGAACTAGAGAACCAAGAGCAAACAAATCCCAAAGCTATCAGAAGACAAGAAATAACCAAAATTAGAGCTTAACTGAAAGAGATAGAAACACAAAAAATCCTTCAACAATTAACAAATCCAGGATCTAGTTTTTGAAAAAAAAATAGAATAAACTGCTAGCTAGACTAATAAAGAAGAAAAGAGAGAAGATTCAAATGAAAACAATCAGAAATGATGAGAGGGATATTATCACTGACCTCACAGAAATACAAACAACCACCAGAGACTATTATGAACACTTCTATGCACATAAACTAGAAAATCTAGAAGTGGATAAATTCCTGGACCCATTCACCCTCCCAAAACTGAACCAGGAAGAAATTGGTCCCCGAACAGACTAATAGTGAGCTCTGAAATTGAGTCAGTAATAAATAGCCTACCAACCAAAACAAAAAACAACAACAAAAAAACAAAACCTGGGACCAGACAGATTCACAGCTGAATTCTATCAGATGTACAAAAAAAGAGCTGATACCATTCCTACTGAAACTATTCCAAAAAATTGAGGACAAGGAATTCCTCCCTAACTTGTTCTATGAGGCCAGCATCATCCTGATATCAAAATCTGAGAAAGATACACCAAAAAAAGAAAACTTCAGACCAATATTTTTGATGAACATCAATGCAAAAATTCTCAACAAAATACCGGCAAACCAAATCCAGCAACATCTGAAAGCCTATCCACCACAATCAAGTAGGCTTTATCCCTGAGATGCAACGTTGGTTAGACATACGCAAAACAATAAATGTGATTCATCACATAAGCAGAATCAAAGACAAAAACCACATGGGGCCGGGCATGGAGGCTCACGCCTGTAATCTCAGCACTTTGGGAGTCAAGGCAAATGGATCACCTGAGGTCAGGAGTTCACGACCAGCCCGGCCAACATGGTGAAACCCCATCTCTACTAAAAACACAAAAATGAGCTAGGTGTGATGGCTTACACCTGTAGTCCCAGCTATTCAGGAGGCTGAGGCAGGAGAATCGCTTGAACCTGGGAGGCAGAGGTTGTGGTGAGCCGAGATTGTGCCACTGCACTCCAGTCTGGGCAACCAGAGTGAAACTCCATCTAAAACAAACAAACAAACAAACAAACAAACACCACACAGTTATCTCAATAGATGCAGAAAAGACTTTCTATGAAATTCAATATCCATTTAGGTTAAAAGCTCTCAATAAAGTAGGTATTGAAGGAACACAGCTCAAAATAAAAAGAACTGTCTATGACAAACCCACAGCCAACATCATACTGAATGGGCAAAAGCTGGAAACATTCCCCTTGAAAATGAGCACAAGACAAGGATACCCTTTCTAACCACTCATATTCAATATAGTATTGGAAGTCCTGGCCTGGGCAATCAGGCAAGAAAAATAAATAAAGGGCATCCAAACAGGAAGAGAGGAAGTCAAACTATCCCTGTTTGCAGATGACATGATCTTATATTTACAAAACCCCATAGTCTTAGCCCAAAAGCTTCTTAAGCTGATAAACAACTTTAGCAAAGCCTCAGGATACAAAAATCAATGTGCAAAAATCACTAGCATTCCTATACACCAACAGCAGTCAAGCCAAGAGTCAAATCAGGAACAGAAGCCCATTCACAACTGCCACAAAAAGAATAAGCCTAGGAATACAGCTAACTAGGGAGGAAAAAGATTTCTACTGGGAGAACTACAAAACACGGCTCCAGAAAATCAGAGATGACACAAACAAATGAAAAAACATTCCATGATCGTGGATAGGAAGAATCAATATTGCAAAAATGACCATACTGACTAGAGTGATTTATAGATTAAATACTATTCCAACTAAACTACAGTTGAGATTCTTTGCAGATCCAGAAAAACTATTTTAAAATTAATATGGAACCAAAAAGAGCCCAAATAGCCAAAGCAATCCTAAGCAAAAAGAACAAAGCTGGAGGCATCACACTATACGACTTCAAACTATACTACAGGGCTACGGTAACAACAGCATGGTACTGGTACAAAAACAGACACATAAAACAATGGAACAAAATAAAGAACCCAGAAATAAGGCCACACCTACAACTATCTGATCTTCAACAAGCCTGACAAAAACAAGCAATGGGGAAAGGACTCCCTATTCTATAAATGGTGCTGGGATAACTGGCTAGCCATATACAGACGAGTGAAACTAGACCCCTTTCTTATACCATACACCAAAATTAACTCAAGATGGATTGAGGACTTAAATGTAAAACCCCAAACTATAAAAAACTCTGGAAGACAACCCAGGTAATACCATTCAGGACATAGGTATGTGCAAAGATTTCATGACAAAGATGCCAATAGCAATTGCAACAAAAGCAAAACTTGGTAGATCTAAAGAGCTGCTGCACAGCAAAAGAAACTATCAACAGAGTGATCAGGCAACCTACGGAATGGGAGAAAATTTTTGCAAACTATGCATCTGACAAAGGTCTAATATCCAGCATTTATAAGGAACATAAACAAATTTACAAGAAAAACAACTCCATTAAAAAGTGAGCAAAGCACAGGAACAGACGCTTTTCAAAAGAAGACATCGATGCAGCCAACAATCATATGAGAAAATGCTCAATGTCACTGACCATTAGAGAAATGCAAATCAAAACCACATTGAGATACCATCTCACACCAGTCAGCATGGCTATTATGAAAAAGTCAAAAAGTAACAGATGCTGGGGAGGATTCAGGGGGAAAAAGGAATGCTTATACATTGTTGGTGGGAATGTAAATTAGTTCAACCATTGTGGAAGACAGTGTGGCAATTCCTCAAAGACCTAAAACAGAAATACCATTCAACTCAGCAATCCCATTACTGAGTATATACCCAAGGGAATATAAGTCATTCTACTGTGAAGACACATACATACATGTGTTCATTGCAGCACTATTCACAATAGCAAAGACATGGAATCAACCTAAATGCCCATTGGTGATAGACTGGATAAAGACAATGTGGTACATATAAACCACGGAAGACTATGTAGCTATAAAAAAGAATGAGATCATGTCCTTTGCAGGGACATGGATGGAGCTGGAGGCCATTATCTTTAGCAAACTAATGCAGGAACAGAAAACTAGATATTGCACATTCTCACTTATAAGTGGTAGCTAAATGATGCAAACACATGGACATATAGAGGGGGACAACACACACTGGGGCCTATCAGAGGGTGGAGGGTGGGAGGAGGGAGAGAATCAGGAAAAATAACTAATGGGTGCAAGGCTTAATACGTGGGCGACAAAATAATCCGTACAACAAACCCCTATGACACAAGTTTACTTATATAACAAACCTGCACATGTGCCCCTGCACTTAAAATAAGACTTAAAAATAAGAACTCATAGCCATCTTTTTAATTTCCCACACCTATCTTCTTCCTTGTAAGAATTGATGATAGCTTACACATTTTAAAAAATATGCTAAAAAATTTTAAAGATGCTTTTTAAAAATTGAAAAAATTTTTGGTATATAAATATCTAAGAATATATAGACCCTATAGATAGAATATTCAGTCTTTCTACAATCAACTGGACCACAGAGACTTCTTTTTTCATAGAGCATCTTTCAACACTGGTGTGGTAAATTTGGTAAAACTGTGTCAGTAAATATTTTGGGACTATGGTTATCAGCCTAGCTTACTAATCTCAAATTTTGATCTAATGAATGACACACATGTAACAGTGCTATGAGCAAATATTAAGACCATTTCTTGGAATAAGCCAGTTTTAAAAATCAACTTATTGACTTAAAATCAGTTTTATTATTATTTACATACGATAAAATGTGCTCCTTTAAAATGTACATTTTTATGAGTTTTGACAAATATATACATCTCTGTGACTAACACCATAGTTATGATTTAGAACATTTCCATCACCCTGCAAAATTCTCTCATGCCCCTTTGCAGTTAATCCTCTCCGAATCTCTGGTCCAGGCAATGAATGGTCTTTTTGTCATGGTAGATTATATTTCCTTATTTCTAGAATTTTATGTAAGTGGTGCCATATACAATGTACTTTTGTGTCTGAAACTTTTGTTTATTTGTTTAGAGACAGAGTCTCACTGGAGTGCAGTGGCGTGACTATGGCTCACTGCATCCTCAAAGTCCTGGGCTCAAGTGATCCTCCCCCCTCAACCTCCTGAGTAGCCTCTCTGCATGTTTTTCTGATTCATCCATGTTCTATGTATTGGTGGTTCATTATTTTATTGCTGAGTAGTATTCCACTGTATGGATATAACACAACTTGTTTATCCATTGAATTGTGATGGGCCATAAGACTGTTTCTCATTTTTAGCTATTATAAATAAAGCTTTTATGAACATTTATGTGTAAGTTTTTGTGTGTGCACCAGCAGTGTATGATAGTTAGTTTTTCCACATCCATGTCAACACTTGGTTTGGTCAGTCTTTTAAATGTTAGCCATTCTAGTGGGTGTGAAGAAATACTTCACTGTGGTTTTAATTGGTAACTTAGATGACTCATAATGAACATTTTTTCATGTGCTTATTGACCGTTTATATATCCCTTTTTGTGAAGTTCCTGTTCAAATTTTTGTCTATTTTTAAATTGTGTTGTTTGTCTTCTTTTATTTATGTATTTATTTATTTACAGAGACAGCATCTCACTCTGTCAGCCAGGCTGGAGCAGAGTGGTGCGATCATGTCTCACTCTAGCTTTAAACTCCTTCCGCTTCAGCCTCCTGTGTCTTTTTATTATTAATATGTGAGAGTTCTTTCTTTATTTACCTACATGTATCTAACTATATATGATTCAAATACATATATGCATATACACAGACATGAATATATACATATATGCACACACACCCATATATATACACACACCACACATATATATGCATATATAGTATTTTGGATATATATTAGATATTTTATCCCAGTCTGTGGTTTGACTTTTTACTTCTTAATGGTATCTTTTGATAAGCAGAAGCTTTTAATTCTGATGAAGTCTAATTTTTTCTTTAATGTTCTTGCTTGCCTTTTAAAAAGCCTTCCTAGTGCATCTTTGCCTGCTCCATGGTCAAAGTGAAGCAGTGAATTTTCTCCTTGTACTCTTGTGTTGGCTCATTTCAGCCATCATGTTCAGACTTCCTCCCATTCCCTTCCCCGCTTACTTTTCCACAGACTCAACATGAGTTGGCTGGAAAAGAGAGTAAGCTTCTGGTTGTTGGGAAATCTACACCAGCTAATATGACAGGGCAATGGTAGTCGCAATTTAAAAAGAACACAGAACACTTACAACATGTTAAACTTTATACCAGAAGAAGACTCTGAGAGACTTTTCTTGACCACCTAATTGATAAGGCTCCCATGTTACTCTTTACCGTGTAACTGTGGGAATTTTCTTCAAGGCGCAATTATCATTAATTATCTTGTTTGTTTGTTTATTACCTATTTCTCATATGACCCCCGCATAAGATTGTATGCTTTTCTGTCTTTTTCATCTGTAATTGATGAATGAATGAACCAGCAGAGGGACCAGATTGCCTTGTGGCTGATGGCATTGACATCAATTTGGGGTTTGTGGCTCCCACCACTTCAGCCTTCCATCTCTGTCACTTTCTGTCACTACATCTGTGATTTACTACATGAGGGTAAAACCTTTGCATGGAACTGCTAAGCTCATTCCTTTATGGAGGCAATCCCTCAATTTCTCCACATGTATGAAATTTGGGATTTCTGAAACTTCTATGTTCACTGTGGATAAGGGAAGATTCAGAATAAGGGTAATGGGGGAATGATTTAGAGATTGTTTCTTTCTGTAATTTCCTCTCTAGCCTTTTAGATGGGTAATTAACAATAGAATATTGGTTTTCTTAGATTGTTGCCTAGTAGCATAAGTTTGGTTAAAGCAGTCCTGCTAGCATTCTAGAAAAGGGTTTCTTTTACTGGTGTTTGTCATTCAGCTGCTGAAATTCACACTGGGTGAAACTTGGCATGACAACTCTCAGCTCAGTTGCAACTTAGAAGAAAACAGATTTTGCTTTGCTTAAATTGTTTTCGATTGACTGGTTAAGAATAAATTAAAGGTTATTGTAGGTAACAGCTTCTTCATTCAATTAAAAAATATCATCAGGCAGCTGCTTTCTTTTCTCCTTGAAAGTACAGAAATGATTTTGAGCTACTTAATTGATTTTCCTATGAAGTTTTTTGACTGACAGACTGTGCCTGATTCTTCCTCAACATTTTTCACTCCCACCAATATAGGAATAGAGAATGGGAATTGGATGAAAGGTATAATCATCCTGCTATATAAAATCTGAAAGGCCAGTCAATTCATCTCTTTATTTCTTTGTTCATTCAAACATTGATTCATTGATTGAACATTTGTCTCTCAATTTGGTCCAGGTTTGCTGCACAAGCATTTAATATTTATCACACTTGGGATTTTTTTGTTTACAAATGACTGTAGTTTGTTATTCTGTAAACTCCAAGTTGGCAGGTGCCATGTCTTTTTTATTTAGTGCTGGATAGTAAGAACCCAGAATAGTGGATGATGCATTATGAACTTTCAATAGCATTTGGTAGAAGAAGGGAAGGAGGGAGGGAAGGAGGGAGGGAGGGAGAGAGGGAGGGGAGAGGAGGAAAGAAGGGAAGAAGTTAGCAAGAGCTTAAAGACAGCTAATGAGGTCTCCTGTGCTCTGTAGAGCCATGGAACATCAGGCAGGCAGATGCTGGGAGCACACATACCAGAGGCCAAGGTTACTCAAACATTTCTTTTCTTTGTTCAATATGGTCAAAGAGAGATTCTTCAAGAGGTTTTTCCCCCTTAACAATGTAGGCAAGTCATGCTTTCTAAACCAAAAGGGGAATTCATTGTATGTCACATTATGCCATAGAGGCTCAGGCTGTATTCTTCATATTGAGAGGACAGTAGCTGTGCATTTTCTTCTGTAGCTGCTGGTAAGGGGCCCAGACTTGGAGATGGGGGCCTGGAGTTCTATTCTACCTCCATTCACAGCTGGCTGAGAGACTAGCGGTCACCTGCCTAGTCTTCTGTACTTTAGTTTCCTCAGCTCAAAAATGAAGGTAATGATGACAAAAATACCAGCTTCACTGGGTTTTGTGAAGCTAAGATGTGCATCTATGTGAATGTGCTTGACGAAAAGTAGTTATTTTAAAATAAATTTGTGTTGATATTATAAAGAGAAATTGAGACAGTTTTGCATCTTTCACCCCGCTACCCCTGGGGGCAAAAAAACTGTATTTAACTGGCTCTTTCCCTTTTCATTTGGGTCTCTGCTAAAATATCACCTCATTGAAAGCTTTCCCTGACAATTCTGTTCAAAGCAACATACGTCACTCCGTGGACACTATCAATCTGTTTTATTTTTCCTCTTGGCATTTACTACTACCTGGCATTATACTAGGCATTTAGATTTTAGAATGTTAGGCAGGGCTTGTTTGTTTTGTAAACCTGTGTTTGGCACACAGTAGATACTTAGCCAGTTTTTGTAGAAAGAAGGACCTGTCCTCCCAATGTGACACAACAAGTTAATTGCTCTCTTTGCTCATTCTCTACCTCTAGAAAAGCTTTTTTTGGGAAATATGGCCAAGACCAGGAGGTGCTGTATTGCCTTGATGATATCACCATGAAGAATGCACTTATCAGTAACACAGATTTTTATTATATTGATGAGATTTTGGTGACACCTTAGTCCACCAGTTACCAACTTGGGGTTCACAAGGCCAGAAAAGTTACTGGAGCTCCTTTTAATATTTCACAAAGCCCAGTAAAATCCATCCCACTATCCTTAATAAGGCTGTAGGGGAAAACTAGAATAAATAATTCAGAGGCTGCAAACGTTCTCAGGTCACAATAATTCAGTAATTTTTTCATGGTGTTCCCAGCCCCAAAAACATCCTAACAGTTCTGTTGATTAAATATTTACATCCAAATGACTTAATAGTAATAATTTATATGGTATCTGAGAGATGTTGTTATGTTTTCCTAGAAAATTTAGAATAGCTTGTACTGTCCTTATGAATTTGTTGAGGTAATATAGAGTGCCTTGGCACACATTTTGGGAACCGTGGAGATGATAAGAGATTCTAAACAGTGTGTCTTTCCCCTTTTACTAAGACCAGGTTGCTTGAATTTAATTTGGCCATTGATGATATCATAGGAATTCCTGAGACAAGAGCACTGAGCCATAAGTAACTCTTGGAGCACACATCAAGGAGTTATGGTGTTTGACTTTAACAGGTGGAATCCTGCCTCCATGGTGGCCAATATTGAGCAACCAAGAGTTCTATGTTCTACAGGATGAGATTATTACTTAATCTTGTTTATTAGTAATCTTACAATCTTGATAACCACTTATGTGATTTCATAATGCTACTATCATAAACTTTGCTGCTAATAAATCATTTGTGATCTGGATTAACAATGACCAAAAAAGAGAGATAATACAGGCAGAACAAATTGTTTATTGCTTAATACATACGCAGTTTGTTTGGTAGACAAAATCATTTGAAGATTCCACTGACATGAGAGGCACAGATAAACTAAAATTTTTTAAAAAGTTACATTTGTGGTGAAAAGATTTTGAGTAAGTTCTCCAGTCCTTTAGTTAGATGTGGATGCACCTTAGTCTGATTAGTGGAGTGGCTCACAAACTCACTTGAAGGAGAACAAGTGAAGGCTAGCTCTGCAGAAGACTACCTGATTTCATTATACGGTGATTTTCATGAGGAGCACTGTCAGAGGTTGACATTTTTTAATCTTCCTCTCAGTCTTTGGATTCTGGATTTGTATATACATAAACCAACTTATGCAGTAGGTGCCTGACCTTGAAGGTCTAGGATGGTTTGAATCAATAATCAACCTTCTAATAGTATGAGGTTGGGGTTTGGCTTATTTTTTATTCATTAGATTGAGTTGTGAAAAAATTCTTTTTTCACAAGCTATCTTCTAGGAAAAGTTATAATTTGAAGTTTGTTTAAGAAGTTTTGTGATTTGGTAGTCACGATTGTAGGTAGAAGATCAACAAGGCAATATAAGATTTGAACACTCTAAACCAACCAGACCTAACAGATATCTGTAGAACATTCTATGCAACAACAACAGAATATATACTTTTCTCAAGTTCATATGGAACATTATCAAAGATAGATAATATGCTAGTTATAAGACAGGTCTCATTAAATTAGAAAGAATTGTAATCATACCGAGTACATTCTCCAACCATAATGAGTTAGAGACCAACAAGAGAAAGAAATTGAGGAAATCTATGATTGTGTGGAAGTTAAACAACACACTCCTAAAAAATCAATGGGTTAAATAGGAAATAAAAGAGAAAATTAGAAAATACTTATATATAAATGAAAATGAAGATACCACCTATCAAAACTTATGGGATACAGCTAAAGGCTATATTAAAACAGAAGAAATATTACAAGTCAATCACCTCACCTTCCACTTTAAGACACTGCAAAACAAAGGCAAACTAACCCTAAAGCAAGAATAAGAAACGATATAGTAAAGATTCGGACAGAAATGAATGAAATAGAGAATTTAAAAATACAGAAAAATCAATGAAATTAAGAGTTGGTTCTGAAAAAATGAACAAAATTAGCAAAACTTAAGCTACCCTGAAGCCGAAAAAGATGTTGTTGAAAACAATGAAGACTGAAATAAGTGAAAAGACATCCTATGTACATGGATCAGAAGACTTAACATTGGTAAAATGGCAATAGTCCCCAAATTGGCTTATAGATTTAACACAGCCCCTTTCAATACCCCACCTGGTTTCTTCGCAAAAACTGACAAGCTGACTTTAAAATTCATTTAAAAAATTGAAGAAAGCCAGAATAGCTAACATAATCTTGAAAATGAGCAAATTTGGAGGTCTAATGCTTTCCAATTTCAAAACTTCATATAAAGCTACAATAATCAAGACAGTGTGGTACTGCAAGAAGGGTGGACATGTGGATCAATGGACTAGAATTTAGAGTCTAAAAATAAATTCTCACATTGACAGTCAATTGACTCTTGACAACTGCTAAAACAAATAGGGGAAGGGATAGTCTTTTCAATAAACAATACTGGTACAACTAGTTATCTGTCAGCAAAAATTGAAGTTGGACCCACACTTCACATTGTATATAAAAACTAAGTAAAAGTGGATTATAGACTTAAAAGTAAGAGCAAAACCTCTAACCCTCTTAGAAGAAAACATAGGCATAAATCTTCATTACCTTGGATTTGGCAATAATACCTTAAATATGTCACCAAAAGCACAAATAACAAAAGAAAAAATAAAATAACTGACTTAATCAAAACAAACTTTTGTGCTGCAGAGGGCACCATCAAGAAAGTGAAAAGATAACTTACTTAGTGAGAGAAAATATTCGCAAGTCATATCTAATAAGGGACTGTATTCAGAATATGTAAAGAACTCTCACAACTCAATAATAAAGATACAAACAGTACAATTTAAAAAATGGTAAAGGACCTGAAAAGACATTTTTCCAAAGAATATATACAAATGGCAAGTCAAAACCACAATGAGACACCACTTTACATTCATTAGCATGACTATAATAAAAAGAAATAATTATAAGTATTGGTGAGGATGTGAAGAAATTAGGACCATTATATACTGCTGGTAGAATGTAAAATAGTACAGCCACTTTGGAAAACATCCTGAATTTCCTCAAAAAGTTGAACATACAATTATCTTATGATCCAGCAATCCTATTCATAAGAAATGAGAACATATATCCAAACAAAAAGGTTGTACATGAATAATTGTAGCAGCATTATTTATGGCAGCCAAAAGTAAAAACAACCCAAATGTTCATCAGCTGATGAGTGGATAAAAAATATGTAGTATAGCCATACAATGGAATATTATTGGGCAATATAAAGGAATGAAGTACTGATACATCATACATACAATGTGGATAAATGTTGAAAACATTTTAGTAAATGAAAGAAGCTAGTCACAAACGACCATATATGGTATAATTCCAGTCATATGAAATGTCTGGAAAATCAAATCCAAAGAAACAGAAGTAGATTGGTAGTTACCTAGGGCTGGGAGGATTTGAGAGGATAGCTAAAAAGAATATGGATTTTTATGGCATGATGAAAATGCTCTAAAATTGTGGTGATGCTTGCACAACTCAGAATATGCTAAAAACCATTAACTTATAGGATTTAAATGAATGATATGTATGGTATATGAATTATATTTTAATAAAACTTCTATCAAAAAGATCAATAATGTGTCAGCAGTAGACTATATACATCAAAGGATAAATTAATGAACTGGAAGATTAACCTGAGAAAAATCACTCTGAATTCAGTACAAAAACACCAAGAAACAGAGAATATGAAAGAGAAATACAGTTTGAGAAGCTCTGGCTTGTGTCTAGTGGAGTTCCAAAAATAAGGAATATAACATATGGGAAAAAGAAGATATTTACAAAGATCGTGGCTAATTATTTTCCATAATTTAGGAGAGATCAAAAGCCCCAGACTGAAGGAGTTCATATTGATATTACATAATAGACAAAAAAAAAAAACAAACAAACAAAATCACCACAAATGCTGAGAGAAAAATTATGTTGCTTTTAAAGGAATATTTAGACTAAAAAAATTTTTGTTCAGTGACAATGGATGCCAAAAACAGTGAAACATCTTTAAAGTGCTGAAGGAAATAAACTTTTACCTAAAAACTCCATATCCATCTAACCTACCATTGAATAATTAAAATAAAGACAACTCAAGAAATCTAAAAAGTTGGCCGGGTGCGGTGGCTCATGTCTGTAATCCCGGCACTTTGGTAGGCCGAGGTGGGTGGATCACCTGAGGTTAGGAATTCCATACCAGCCTGGCCAACATGATGAAACCCCGTCTTTACTACAAATAAAAAATTAGCCAGGCATGGTGGCACACACCTGTGATCCCAGCTACTCAGGACGCTGAGGCAGGAGAATCGCTTGAACCTGGGAGGCAGAGGTTGTGGTGAGCCGAGCTTGCGCCACTGCACTCCAGCCTGGGTGACAAAGCAAGACTTCATCTCAAAAAAAAAAAAAAAAAATACAAAATAAAATAAAATAAGAAAGAAATCTAAAAAGTTTCACTATTAATGGATCGTTGCTTTACGAACTACTGATTGATGTAATTCAGCAGGAAGGAAATTAAATCCAGAAAAATCTATGGACTTAACAAAAAATGGTAAGCAAAGAAATTATAAGTATGTTGGGTATAGTGGAAATGCAACTGAGTCCTATCCAATCATCCTATATTTCACATCAAAGTATCGAGCAATATGATCAAATCTGATAATGAACAGATTTGGGGTCTTAGTCTACGAGAATCTTTTTCTGGTTTGAAAAGATTGAGTTTCCTATAGATAGAGCTGAGATACTTTTTTTTTTTTTTGAGACGGAGTTTCACTCTTGTTGCCCAGACGGGAGTGCAATGGCGCCATCTTGGCTCACTGCAACCTCCGCCTCCTGGGTTCAAGCAATTCTCCTGTCTCAGCCTCCTGAGTAGCTGGTATTGTAGGTGTTGGCCAGGCTCGTCCTGAATTCCTGACCACAGGTAATCCAACCACCTCGGCCTCCCAAAGTGCTGGGATTACAGGTGTGAGCCACTGCGCCTGGCCAAGCTGAGATACTTTTTAAATGTTCTTTGAGTGTGTATGTGGTGTGTGTGTGCGTGTGTGTGTGTGTGTTTGTTTGGTGTTTGTTTGGAGAGAGAGGTATGTCTAACTTGCTACAAGACTTCCCTCCTCCACTCAGGAAGTTTGTAGTCAGCAGACCAAATTACTGAAATGCAAGTACTGGTGCTCCTTGGTTCTTTACCTTCTCCCTCTATTCTCCAGCTCTTAACACTTCACTCCTCTCACTCCCTTTCCCTGTCCTCTGTCCCTGTTGGTAGTAATTCCTCCACTGATTGCTAGACACTGGGTGAAAAGCCAAAAAGCTATTTAGTGTATCGATATCATGGAATCCACTTGGCAGTTAGTTACATTTAACCTGAGTCCTGCAATGAGCAATGATAGTGCCACTGTACTCTAGCCTGGGCAACAGAGCAGACCCTGTATCAAAAAAAAAATCTATAGTCACTGACAACTATTAAAATGGGTTTTGTCTCTTTTATTTCTATCATAGTCTATTCAGTATATCAATATGAGATGAAATGGCCAACTGTTGGCCAGAGTTTGGAATAGCAAGTCTCCTGTAAATTACACAATGTACCGAGCTCAAAGGCTCAGAGAACATGTAAATCATTGCTGTTTGGATATGATGCAGTACTGCTAAGTGCCTTTTCATCTTATATGCCAAGTTCTCATATGATTGAGAAAACTCACTCTCTGGAGGTCCAAGGAGGCATCATTAAATGGTGACTGTTGGTGCAGTAAAGTCTTAGTTCTGCCTCAGTGACCTGATCTATTACCTCAGGGCCTCATTCTCTTTCCAAGTCACAATGTTACTTTTCCTTTTATCTTGTAAGGGCCTAGAACATTTATAGCATTGACGTCAATAATCTGATGACTTCCGTGCAGTTGGCAGAGATCAGCTCACATTTCTATCATTCATTTGCTTGAACAATCACAAACGGAAAGACAAGCAGACCCCTTTCCACTCTCGTGCTATGTTTACCCTAAGTACTTTGCTGAGACTTGGCAACAACCAATGGAACCAGGAGATAATTTGTTTGGATTAGGTCAATAGTCACCCTCTGATGTTTTTATCTATCTTGTTTGTGATGCTGCAGTGGTCTCTCTTCTGACATTTCATCCTACTCATTAATGATTTAGACAAATCCATCTTATAAATGACACAGAGAGCTGAATCACTAGTATTTACTTATTTTTGAAATTCACATTTAAGTCAATAATTATTTTTTAAATGTCATCAATATACGCCTACTAAGCTTAGTTTCTTAAGTAAGAAAATATAGATGGAAACTCAAAGAATTCCACTTTATGCTATACAGATATGTACAAACATGTAGCTGCTTAGAAAGACCATTCTCACTGCTCTCATAATTTCAATTATTTTGAAGAAGGTGTTTCTTTCTTTTCTTGATAGATTAAGTTTAGTAACTTTTTTTAAAAGAAAGAGAATAGTTAGGGAAATAAGAAGTACTCTGCAGTTTCTATGTTTCTATGTAAATCTCTAACCATGCTTTGTATTTTGATTTTCATATGTCTCTTCCCTTCCCTTCCCTAAAGAATCTGAATATCTGACATAGGCAACTTATGTCTTTCATGAGTTCTAGTGCCTTTGCAATATACTTCTTATTCTATCGTCACATCATCTACCTCATCTTAATACATAGCATTTCACAGTTTTCAATCTCTGGTATCTATTTTGGTTTTTACAACAATCCTATGATGTAAGGGAGTCAGATATTGCATGCCTTTCCATTTTATCCCTGGTGTGAAATGTTTTTCTTCTGATAATTAGTGTAACTACAATAAAATTAATTCAGCTTCAAGAATTTTACAATGCCCAGTGATATAACACTTCTTGAGAGTACCATGAAATAAACCTGGAACCAAGGTAGTGGGAAAGAGGGTAGCATTTAGAAAATATCAGAAAAGCCTGGAGCTACACTAAAACAATGCCCTGGTTGGCTTCTTAGCTTCTTCCATGTTTTGCATGCATGCCTCTCAGGCCACATGTTAAACTTTCTTTACGTTTTCTTTTCTTCACCCTACCCCCTGTTTTTTAGTGATTCCCCTAGGAATCAGGAAGTTTGTAGTCAGCAGACCAAATTATTGAAATGCAAGTACTGGTGCTCCTTGGTTCTTTACCTTCTAGTGATTCCTAGATTCCTAGATTCCTAGATCCCCTAGGAATCAATAAAAAACAAAGAACAAACATTTGTTTGTTAAATGTTTAAAAAACATTTGTTTTTTTTTAAAAAAAGACCTTCATAAAAAATTGAGGTATGGAATATGGAGGAGCTTGAATACTGTACAAGTCAGGAGAAGTAACTGCTGGCTGCTTTGACAAGTCAACTTCAAAATCTCACTTGCTTAACACAACAAAGAATTATTTCCTGCTCTTATTACAGTCGAATGAAGGCCAGACAGATTTACTCCAGTGGTTTCTCAGAGATGCAGGCTGCTTCTACATTGCAACAATAGTATCTCAAAATTCTTTGCTTCCAATATCACCAATGAGAGAGAGAGAGAGAGAAGAGTATTGTGGTGAATTCACACTGGCTCATAACTGCGTTGGACTCACAGTAGCAAGTCATACACACTCGCATTTCCATTGGCCAGAACTAGTTATGCAATTCCAACCTAATTACAATGCTGAAAAATGTAGAAGAGTATGTAGAGTATTTGGTGAGAACTGTTTCTGCTGTTAAAGAACAGAATGATTTTGATTCGTAGAAAATTAGAGCTGAAAAAGATTTTATAGGACATCTAGACTAATCTATTTCTTTCTTTTTACAGATTAGAGAAGAATCAGAGATTAGAGCAGTTAAGAGACTTGGTCAAAGTTGTATATTCCTAAGACGTGACAGAGGGAGGAGTTTCTATCATAATAACTAGTGTTTATTCAACTCTGGTTGTGGGCCAGGTACTGTGCTAACATATTTACATGTCTTCTCTCCCTGCTGCATCACACTAGCCCTGTGAGACAGACACTGTTCTTATCTTCATTTTAAAGATGAGAAAAATAACAAGTAAAATATCTCAGGTCACGCAGGTAATAAAAGGCAGAAAGGAGATTCAAACCCAGACTGTGTATCATGAAAAATGCCAACTTACAATCAATCTATTTTTTGATGCCCACTCTTTTTGCTCTGGTCCCCAAATTCCCCTTGGGATCATACCACAAGATGACACAGCTCTAAACTTAAATAATAGAAAAGTCTTCATCCAAGGACACTGCTGCAGGAACTTTAAAAACAGAAACTGCTGCAATATCCTTGATTGTCTAGAAGACATGTTGAAGTTACTTGTGAGAGTAGAGACAAAGCTATGCCATAAACATGGGCAAATCACTCCTGGATTAGCATGGAGAAATCTGCCCCTGGCTATATACAGGGTGTTTCCTGTAAGGCCTAGGGGGATTTTCTGTCATGTGGGAAGTAGCCATTTCACAATACTAGATCACAAACATTGACTTACACCCACAAGGTAAGTGAATGGAGAAAATAAATGTTGCAGTGTGTGTGTGTGTGTGTGTGTGTGCGCGCGTGTGCGCGCGCGCATATTTTATATATATATATATTTTTTTTTTTTTTTCTTTTTTTTTGAGACAGAGTTTCACTCTGTCCCAGGCTGGAGTGCAGTGGTGCAATCTCAGCTCACTGCACCCTCTGCCTCCTGGGTTCAAGCAATTCTCCTATCTCAGCCTCCTGACTAGCTGGGACTACAGGTGCATGCCACTACGCCCGGCTAATTTTTGTATTTTTAATAGAGATGGGGTTTCACTATGTTGGCCAGCCTGGTCTCGAAATCCTGATCTCAAGTGATCCACCCACCTCGGCCTCCCAAAGTGCTGGGATTACAGGCGTGAGCCACCGCGCCCTGCTGCAATGTGTATTTAAAAAGAAAATGCTAAATCAAATATCGTGGTCATTTCTTCCGGTTCTTGTTCTTCCATTTGACAGCACTACTGGGAGTTTCAGTCATAATTGTTTACATTCAAACAAGTAGTAGTGATCAAAGCCTAGAGTTTTAAAGTTAGCTACTTTATCATCATGGCAAAATTCTTCATTCATTAAAAAAGACAAAAATTGATTTATAAAATTGTTTCTAACAAAGATCAAATTTTATGTGCTTACCGCAGTGCCTGGAATATAGTGAACATTAGTAAATGGAAGCTTTTGCTATTGTTATTCTTCTATTATTACTAGACATCTTAGCCAGTGCATCACTATAAAGCCAGTTTGTTCCCACTTTAAACTTTTCAATTTTTTTTATCCCAGTGGAGATACAAAATTTCACTGGGGGGGATGAGTGGGAATGAGATAAAATTACTCATCCTATTTATTTAACTGAAATGACTCCTTGCTTTTGAATTCACCAAACTGCCAAGATGTTTTGGCCTGGTTCAGACCCAGTTTGCAATTGGAGGGCCACCAATATTCAGGCATAGAACCACATCCTTTCTAAAACATGTGGACGCAGGCCAGATGAAACATGAGATAACTAAGTGAGTACCAGTCCAAATAAGTGTTTTGGAGAGAAAATAAGTTTCTGTTATCCAGTCTTGATGAGGTCTTATGGTGAATGAAGCATGTTGTCCAGGAAAAATTAGTGTAGTTGCCATCAGAAAAACTGCTAGGAGTCCTGACTCTTATTACTCATTTGTTGAGTCTCTCACTTTGTTCAGAGTTATCTGTTTTTCTTTCTTTCTTTTTTTACTGTTAAGTTGGTAGTTATTTTGGGAATACAATAAGATGGCATAGTAAAGTGTCTCACAAATAATTCCATATTGACATACAACCCCACCATAACATAATAAATTAGGCCTAAAAATTCAGCTATGTAAGACATGGAGTCACTTTGTTACATGATGAATGCAGAAAGTTCCTGGGTCCAAGTGTGCCATCCACATCTGCCCAGGTTCTGCTGAGGTTGGACATGTCTTGTCTCTCCCAGTCAGTTGACCAGATGGAGCCAGGGGGAATATTCAGGATTCAAACATCCATTTCTATCTCCCTGCTTCCCAAGATGGTTTGAGATTGTTTGCCATTTCCTCTTCTGGCTTCGCCTTCTTTTCCTCCCACCCAAATAAACTTTAGTTTTCTTCGGCTGAGAATGGGGTTGATCAGAAGATGAAAGTCATTCGTAATTATGTTATATCCAAGTCCATCTTATCAGAGGATTTTAACTATATTCTTTAGACAAGTTATCTGTAGCTACGTGCGTAATGGAATAGAGAAAAGTTTATTCTCCTGATTGTTCTTAAGAAAAGCACTGCATTCACTTGAGGAAATAATTTGATATGCTGTAATTTATGTTATGCATGAGGTAAGAAGAGAAATTGACATTACCGCTGAGGAGATAAAGTGGCTTTGATAGGTGGGTAGGGTGGAGACAACACAGAAAGGAAGAAGCAAGAAAAGAACGTAGGAGAAAAGAGGCTTAGAGACTTGGCAGAATATCATGCTCTGGGCTCCTGGTAATTCCTGAAGCCTCAGTGTGTGTACAAACTCCAAATATATACTTGTAGTTGTTGGAATTCTCATGGAAATCTGGAAAAGAGTTGAATTCTGGATCTAGGTTCTCACTTGGCTGATATGGAAAGAGCATAGATGAACACAGGCATATAGGCACCCTTCAATATCTGAGTTATTTATAAAAGGTCCCAATACTACTAAATAAGAAAATTGCTTAAATCCAAGTCATTTAATATGCACACAAGAATCTCTGTGAAATGGTCTCAATTTAACATCAACATTTGAGCCTGGGTCCATATAACCCATAGAAAGCTTAATTTATGGCTTCTGTTTGACCTTATTCTAGAACATGGTGAAGTCTTGAGACTTAGAGCAGGGAAGACCACTTTCCTTAAATCCTTTTAGATTGCAAATAAGCCAGAATTCATGGCTGGTTTCTCCATATCAAATAAACAACATTTAGAACTCTGGGAATTATTCATATGAAATTGAAACTTCAGAGAATGCCATTTTACAAAAAGAAATTCATCCCATGGCCACTGCACTTACATTTTCTACATTTTGTCTCTTAAGCCATAAAAGGAATGTTGTTTTCAGCTGTTCATCCACATGTAGTTGATATATGGAGGAAAAAAAGCTCATTTGACTACTATGTGAAATATTTATTATCTAAGTTATTAAAACATTACCCAAGACCAGTGCTCCTGACTTTGTCCCAATACCCTCTGAGAGGTATCACAAATTCTAATCAGTATCAGTGGCTTCTCAAGACATGTCACTCCTTTAAGAAGTGGACAGAGAGGGGAAGAAAGATGGACACCAGTCCATTTGTGAGAAATGTGTGAAGCTTATATCAGAATTTCCAGGGCTTTGTGTTCAGTTAGAAAGAGCTTCTCTTGTTCATTCTGAGGATCTGTTATGGGCTGAATTGCATCCCCCAAAACCCATGTGCTGAAGTCCTAACTCCCCCAGCAACCCCATTCCCCAGTACTTCAGAAAATGATCTTATTCAGAGATACAGTCTTTACAGAGGTAACCAAGTGGAAATGAAGTCATTAGGGTTGGCCCTAATGTAATATGACATTAGGTATCTCTATTTAGAAAAAGAGAAATTAGAAGACAAAGTGGAGACTATGCAAAGATACAGGGAGAAGGCCATGGAAACATGAAGACAGCCATTTACAAGCCAAGGAGAGAAACAACCCAGCCAATACTTTCATTCTGGACTTCTAGACTCTAGGACTGTGGGGCAGTAAATTCCTGTTGTTTAAGCCAGCCAGTATGCGGTACTTTGTTACTGAAATCCTAGCAAACTAATATATTGACCTTCCAACACTGAGAAAGGCAAGTGGTACAAAGCTAACCACATTTCAATTATCATAACTCTATAAGTGAGAAACTGCTAGAAAGTAAATTGTGGAATTTGTTTTAGGTGAATGAAGGCCAATGGGCAGGCTTTTCTAGGACTAGAGGTAAGAAAACAATGTACTAATGTATACTTTTCCTTTAACCAAACCATTTATCTTTATTGCAAAAAATAATACAATTATAATGTCCTGACTCCAATTCTGATACTTTTTTCCTACAAATTTCCACTCACTGAGAATTTATAAAAAGAAAATAATTCAAAAGCCCATCACCTTAATAAATAAATGTTTGGATTTTTGCATTTATTCTTTATTTTAATCTAGATGAATGCTTAATTCCTCTTACATTTAATCATAATATAGGAGATTTGTAGTTCAATTTTCCCCTTTAACAGTGATTCTCAACCAGTGTCATTTTGATAATTTCCACCCATAGGCCAGGACTTTTGGCAACATCTGGAGACATTTTTGGTTGTCACAGCTGGGGTGATGGTGCTACTGATATCAAGTGGGTAGAAACCAGTGATTCAGCTCACATCTTATAATACACAAGACAATCCCCCAACACCAACTAGTAGAATCTGGCCCAAAATGTCAGTGGTGCTGGGGTTGAGAAACTTTGTCTTTCAGTAAGATATCATCAATGTTTTCCATGTTGAATAATAGCTGAGTGGTCTTTACAATATTTTCTGCACAAAATTCCTTTTCTGCACACTATTCTATTAAATTAATGTATTATAATTTATCTAACCAATAACCATGTAATGTGCTATTCAGGATGTTTCTAACGTCTCACTATTATAAATAAAGGTGCAAGTATTTTTTTATTTACATAGCTTTTTAGATGATCTTAAAGAAAAATTTCCAACACTGAGATTTAGATTAAAGGCTATGAGTACGCCAAACAGCAATTATTTCCTTTGTCAGTGAGAAATGGTTATAAGCCTTACTTACTGATATACATGCTTTTCTTTCTAGGGAAGCACTTTAATTTTTCTCATTTCTGAGTTGCCACAGGACTTTCACAGTGTGTTCAAGGATTGTCCTTTATTCTTTACCACAACTAAAGAATATAAGTAACCTCATCAAAATTTTCCTAAGACCATTAATGACTCATTACTTCATTTTAGAGGTCACTGTGGCCTACCACTGATTCAACCTTAAATCATCACTGCTACTTGACTCTGAACAGCTTTTATCAAAGCAGAACCAGGTAACATCCACTTGATCACAGTTAGAAGTATGCTCCTAACTCACTTACAGGAAGTAATCGGTTAACCGATCACAAGTTATCACAAGCTTACTTCTTAAAGGGGCCTCTTCCTTTTCCTTTGGAATCATGTAAAAGTTACTTTACATTACAAAAGCATTAGACAGCAAGTTATAAAGCACTAGGCTTGAACTTTTAAGACTGTACTAAAGGGTGAGTGGGTTATTAGAATAACAACAACAACAAAAAAAATACCATGAGGACCTATCCTTTCTTCATGTTACTAAGGAGTCCTCTTAGTAACCAAGACATTCTTTCAAAGAAAAAAACAAATGGTTGTAGGTGACAAAAGGTGACTTTTCCATGGCCCTGTGAAACAAACCATCCCTTTACACCCTTTGTCTCTCTGCCTAGACAGCCCCAGCTAAGTAAAAGATTGTGGTAGTCAGGTCTCTGGGCAGGTGGTATCCAGCACCACATTGAAAATATATCCTAGGTGCAGTAATGGGATGAGAATGGAGACAGCTGCTGAATGATGAAGGTGGGAGTGCACAAGGGTGAAGTGATGAAACAGGTACAGAAACACTTGCTTTCACAGGTCAGATGGGCCGGGGCAATATTCTAATACTAACCTGTGGGATAATATATATATATATAATATATATATTTGGGATAACAAATATATATATATATATATATATTTGGGATAACAAATATATATATATATATATATTTGGGATAACAAATATATATATATATATATATTTGTTACTTATTTGCCAGGCCCTCATCACAAATGGCCACTGAAGGAATAGCATAATTGCTAATCTATTTCCATGGACTCCAACTCCCATTTCCATGGACTCCCAGAAACCAGGCAGCAACCGCAGACAGGAAACCTGTCTTGATTTTACTGAGGCATCTCAGATGCCTCCTTTTTGTTTTAAAGCATAATGAGGACAGGATATGCATAAATGACCAGAATTTCCAAGAGGGCAGGGACAATTCTGGGAAGCTTGACATCAGGTTCTATCAAAATCATCTCATAGAATTCTTAAAAAACAAGTGCCAAGTGTAAAAATAAGCTAATATATTAAAGAGGAATAAATGTAAAGCCAGATCTAAAGTTAAATTAATTAAAAGATAAGTTGGAATGTTCTGTTTACTTTAAATTGTCAACAATAAAACCAAGTGGAAATATTTGAACATCTACAGATTATTTTTAAAAATGCAAACATGAAGCCAATTAATTCGAGATGAAATTTATCTACATGACAATATTTTCTTTCAGGCAGTGAAGAGGTGTAAAGGACAATTTATCATGCCATATGTTTGTTTTTTATGGATTTCTTGAGGGAGAGACTGTAAAATAAGCATAACAAAATAACAGTCAAATTATTTTTTTTTAACAAAAGTGACCCATGCTTCACCAGTTAGATTATGGTTTGCATAGTCTGGTATTCTCAAAAAGCAAAAACTTTTTTACAGACTTCATCTGAGGAAGAGATCCCAGGAATTGAAGTGGAGGACAGTGGCGAGTGAAGCAGAGACAGTGACAAAGCCAGCACAAGGATGCATTCTTGAGTTAGTCACTGCTGTGGGCAACTGAGACTCTGATAATCAGTGTAGTCTATGCCTCAGAGTGGACCATCCAGGGGATGGGTGGGGGCATTTATCCACCCGCTCCCATTCTCCATTGATGAAGACTTGCCCTCTGGCATTAACTCGCTTGCACTTCCAGGTTACACAAGTGTGGAAGTGTGGCAGGGTCTCAAGGGGTCCTTCAAGGTGGTAGCAGAAAAACTACCAAAGTCAGAAAGCGAGAGAAAAGTGGTGAAGCTCACATGAGGTGAGCAGAGGAGCTGGCTGTAGCAATGTCTGTAGTGACAGGTGAGCTCAGAGGAAGAGAAACAGAAACAAGAGGAGTCCACTGCATCTCACGACCCAGTTCTAATTACTCGCTGTGACTGTCAGGAGTCTAGTATTGAGAATAATTCAGCCCAGTGATGCTGAACTCAACAGCAAAGGGCCCAATGTTTATGAGGGTGTGAGTTATGGTATTCCTTAAATTCAATCTCATTTTATGTCATCTGGATAATAGAGGGTCATGCCTGTGTCCTCTTTGATGGAAGAGAGGTACAGGAGGACTGTGGCTAATGGGGTAGCCAGAAACCAACATGACTTACTCTACATGTACTCTTTCATAGGAATGTTTAGATACCACTCAGAGATGTAAAATAGAATAAGATTCTTTTGTCAGTGTCTAAACATTTCTGTATGATTTGGACTGGCAGAGAATAACCAATTCTTTGCTTTGGTTTTCTTTGAATTGAAGAGAATGACCTATCAAAAGTATGGCAATGATAATTTTCTACATAAATATTGTTAGAAGGTGAAATGGTACTTACTTTTTAAAGAAGAAAAAAACTGTATATTATACACAATCTATAGATCTCTGAGTCTCTAATATTCTAGTTACACATCTAATTTTAGCCACGTCCTTCATGCTATGTAGCTTTGGGCAGGTCCACATTTTCTACTTCTATTCCTGAAGGATTTGGCCAGCCCCTATGCAGGGGAATCCGTTAGGGGTTATCTTTCTTTTCAACCCCAAATGTCTCAGGTTTCTGGGGACTTAAACTTCCCATCTTCTCACTTCCTTCATATTTCCTGGGGTCTCTAATACTTCCTTTCCCCCTGGTTGCCAGGGGACAAATCAAGAATCCCTGTTACTTTATTATATAACACAATTTAACGCCTGCTTTTTCTCAATCTCTTTCTTCCAGACTAGCCCAGAGGCTGTTTCTTTAACAGAATAACAATAAGACACAGAAACAAACCTTCCCAAATAAAAGTGATAAATTTTGCCACTCATTCAGAATATAGCTCCAGTGTGTGTACTTTTTAAAAATTTTATTTTCTTTATATATAAACTAAAGTCCAATTCTCCAAAATAGGCTTTGAGCTAGCTTAAGTTTGAAGCCTAAGGAAGATTCCAGAGAAATGTTAGTAGGATTTCTTTTTTTTTAAATTTATTTTTATTTATTTATTTATTTTTTATTATACTTTAAGTTCTAGGGCACATGTGCACAACGTGCAGGTTTCAAGTGGCCACAGAAGCCAATGCTTGGGGAAAAATATTTAAATTCATCTCTCAGCTAGAACAGGAGAAGGACATAAGGAAGTTTTTTTCCCTAGAGTAATGGAGATAATCAAGCACCAGAGATTCTAATTTTGATGACTTTAATGATGAATCATATGACTTAGAGATGCCATATGCAGTGGAATAAATAGAATTGAATATTTAGCCAGGTAAAAGAAAGGATGAATAAAAGAATCACAGAACAGGATTATTCATTGAAAGCCTTGAGTTATGAACTAAGACATTAAAACTTTTATATTGGGATTAGAGAGTCCAGTTATTTCCCCTAAGAGTTTGCTCCTTACTCTAACTTAAAATGGAATGAAACCCTTGATGTATGAGATAGAATTTGAGGGGACTTATTTCTTCTTAAATTGGTGGAAGACATTTGGACAAAAACAGTCCTTTGTTGTTAATGCTCAAGAGCATCCAGGTGACATTTAGGCAGTGCTGATGATTGATAAGAGAGATTATGCATGATAGGGGAAGAAACTCCCCTCCTACCAAATGTAAAATCTAAGTGCTCTTTGTTTAAGCCAAGTGACAAACTGTATCCCAAAACATAATGCACATGCTGAAATTAATTAGGACAGTAGAGTAAACCCTAAATAGTGCAAGCAAATATTTATTGTATTTGAGCACTTCTTTTTTTTTTTTTTCAAGACAGAGTCTCGCTCTGTCGCCCCGGCTGGAGTTCAGTGGCACGATGTTGGCTCATGGCAACCTTCGCTTCGCCTCCTGGGTTCAAGCTATTCTCCTGCCTCAGCCTCCCGAGTAGCTGGGACTACAGGCGCCTGCCACCATGCCAGGCTAATTTTTGTATTTTTAGTAGGGACGGTGTTTCACCATATTGGCCAGGATGTATTTGAACACTTCTAAGGTCCTCAGTGTGAGGTGAGCTGGAATAAAAACTATCTTGAAAGAGTTATTCTAAAACCACGTTAGTTTTCCATTCATGAAACGCAATTGTATTTCCTTCAAAGTTATTTTCCAAGCTGACCATACTTATGAAACTATTCAGAGAAATGATGACACACTCTTTGTATTCATAGTTCTTTTAGGAAATTGATTTTTATTCTTCATGCACCAAACGTGTATTCACTATAGCCAGAAACTCAGAGGCAGACATCTTTGCAAATAGCATTTTGCTCTGCCATTCCTGAGAGCTAGAGAACTGGCACAGGCTAAGGGGTGTGGATTCAGGATTGGAGCATGTATGGGCATCAGCTCTACTATGGGCCCTTATTGCCACTCTGTGGTTCTGAAGATGAGATCTGCTTGGATTATTGCAGATAAAGCCTCTTCACTGTTGCAACTGAGATTTGTAGGCGCATGTGTAGTGATGCCAAGCAAATTCTGTGACTTTGTTCCCTTCCACATGTTATTTCTCAAGCCCCCACACACCCTGCAAAATGCCATTTGTAGATACCTTTGTTTGTATAGCTATTACCCCAGGTATAAAATCTGCTTTATATACTCATGCTTAGGACTCTGCCTGGCCTTGGTCTGCATGGTATGAGTAGCTAGTGTGTAGCTTCTCTCCAGCATGCCCTCTCATGTAACTTTTTTGTGTGCTTTGTGTACTATAGCCCAAGGTTAAGCAATGCTCCATCCCCTTACCAGCAGGTGTTCCTAAGACATTGTACCCCAGGTCGGCTAAGAGCTCCTGAACGTTTCTTTCTCACAGGAGAAAATGGTTACCTCAGCCTGGTAAGAATATTTAAGGAGCCAAACCCAGCTCTGTGTCTGATCAGATTAGCTGTAATCTTGTGGCCTTTTACTGAATACTTTGACTTATGCCAAGCTCCAGCATCTAAGTCTCCATGACATCTGCCTTTCAACTACATCTGGGTTAGTCCTTATCTTGATTACCCACCTGCCACCCAAGTTTCTTTAGGACTGAAGCTGGCAGTACAGCTTCTTCCTACTCTCCTTTTCAGTGAATAGAAATCTGTCCTTGGTCAGAATTCCCCGTGTCTGAGTTGCTGATGCCCATGACCAGACTAATCTGAGGCCAATTTCTTTCCTGCGTTGTGCCTCCTCCTTACTTTAACCACAGTCAGCCCTGCCTGGCTATTGACTGCTGTCTCTGTGGCTTATCACTGTGACTACACCTTCTCCTTGTCCCAGCATCTCTCTGTGGAGCCAGCATCCTTCTGGCTCCATGTACTTGTCATTTATGATCTTAATCTTTAAATAGCTAATCAACATCCAGTGATAGTAATATTATCTCACCTTTGTTGAGCATTTCCTAAGTGTTAATATCGGGCTAATTATCACTAAACCTCATGACATTTCCAAGGTAGATCGAATTACCCCATTTTATAGATGTTAAAAATGAGTCTAGGATACACTATATAACCAGAAGGTAGAGGAGCCAGAATTAGGCTGGGTCTGGTGTCAAAACCCAGGTTCCTCTACTTCACCAAACTGCCTTCCTTTGAGAATAGCTGCAGTGTTTCATCTTTAATCACCCCAGTGTTATTATCTTTATTTACAGGTAAATGTACTGAGACTCAGGGATCTCATGAGTGAGGAAGCCAATATTTTAGTCAAGATCAAAAACCTTGTTCTTTCCACTACATGACACTATCTTCCACTACAGCACTTCCTACGTTATAAGGTGAATTTTTGCTTTTGTAAACACTCACTTTTCAGCCTGCAACCGGTTGAAGTGCCCCTATAATATGGTCCCTTGTTACTGCATCTGAATGCTGTGGCTTTGGATGACACTTTCTTCCCTTCGGAGGTTCTGCCTCCTTTTCAGCTTCCTCCTCCACTTGTCCTTGGAATGATTCATCTTTCCATCTTCTCTTCGCCAGGCATAGATTGTCCCTGAGGATGCTTACAGAACTTGAAATATCAGCCAGAATGCCAGCTTTAAATTACAGTGAGGAATGGAGCTATCAAGCTCTCTGGTGACTCATGTGTGCTGATCGGTACCTTCTCTCCCTGTGGGAAAGTCTACGTGGGATGTTAAATTCATAATTGGGGATGGGCTGGCAAAAGAAGAATTGGAACAAGAGAAATTAGATGAGGTGACTGGGAGTGACAGGCTACATGGTCCATTGCGTCTATCTCTGTGTTTGGGATTTTGTAGCCACCGGTCTTAGCTGGTTAAATTGTTGGACCTGGCCATAGACTGCCTCATACGGTGCTACTGTCGAAGGTTGAAAAGTTGTTACTGTGCTTGATATGCTTAAACAATTTTAAAAATGTTAGAAAATGAAAGAGTAATTATAAAAATATGTATGGAATAGGTATAACATGTAAAGACTAAATACAGCGAACATCCCCTTACTTACTCCAGGCAAGAAAAAGAACATTACCAAGAACTTTGAAGTTTCTGTGTGTGACTGTCTCATCCTCTCTCACTTTCTTTCTCAGATAACTACCATCCAGCATTTTGTGTTTATAATTTTATTTCATTTCGTAGTAACATTACTTTTTCCTTGAATCTCTAAAGAACATACCGACTTTGTAGAAATGAAATCATACTGTGTGTATTTTTGCAAATTTTTTTGTTGTTTTGTGTATCTGAAATTCATTAAATTTTACTAAGCATACTAATCCATTGTAGTAAAACACAAATTATTTATCTATTCTATTATTGATGAGCATTTGGTTTGTTTAGAATTTGTGGAGATAAGAAGCAGTGCTACTATGTACATTCTTGGGTATTTCCCTTGGTGCATAAGTGCACATGTATCCAGGATGGAATACGGGTCATGGTAACACACATTTTCAATTTTATTAGAAAATGACAAGCTGTTCTAAAGTGGTTGCAGCAATTACTGATACTCCTTTAAGCAGTATAAAATCCATTCTTTTCCCACATCCTCATCAGCATGCAATGTTGCCAGACTTTAATTTTCATCAGTTTTGTGAGTGTGATATTATCTCACTGTAGTTGAATTTACATTTCATAATTTCTAACAAAGCTGAGCATCTTTTCATATGTTTCTTTCCACCTATGATTATTCATCTGTGAAGTTCTTTTTCAAGATTTTGCCCTTTTTATTGGATTGTTTTCTTTCTTTCTAATTGATTTGCAGGAGAGTGTTTTGTTTGTGTTTTTTTTGGTACATATTTTGGATATTCATAGTTTATCAGTTTTATATGTTAAAAATCTCTTTTCCTAGTTTGTGTATTTCTTTTAATTATCTTCATATATTTTGAATGAAATGGTAGAATTTCACTTTTTCTTTATGACTTTTGTGTGGATTCCAAGACATCCCTCCCTATATGGTGATCATAAAGATATTCTTCTACATTGTTAGCACTGCATTTCTCATCTAAGACTTTAATTTGATGGAACTGGTTTTTATATATGGTATATAATAGGGAGACATTTTTATTTTTTTCACCTGTGGATACTCAAGTGTGCCAGGATAATTTATTGCAAAGTCTATTCTTTCTTTAATGACTTGCTACACACCTTCTGTCATATATCAAAGGCCTGTAAGTAGATCTGTTTCTGGGCTTTCCAGTCTGTTTCAGTAGAAACTTGAAAACACCCCTCTTTCTTAATTATTATGGCTTTATCATGCTGCTAAGTATGTGATAAAGAAAGTACTCCTTTTTCTTCTTCATCTTGGCTATTTGCTTTTTCATATAAATGTCTTAAATCAGCTTATCAAGCACCACAAAACTCCAGTTGAGATTTTAATAGGAATATCTTTGAAATTACCTATCAATGGTAGAAGAATCGGTGCTTCTATGAGGTCAAGTCTTCTTGTCTATATATATGATGATTATATCTGTTTTCAAGGTTTTCTTTGCTCTATAAAGAAAAGCTTTATACTTTCCTTTATGAAGTACTTGAAAAATTTTGTTATATTTATTTATAGACATTTTAGAATTTTGATGTTTTTAAAATATCTTTTAAAAATTGCATTTTCTGTTTGTTGAAACTTATTTTTGTATATTGATTTTTATATCCTGGAATTGTGCTAAAATATCTTATTAATTTCAGAAATGTATTTGTAGGGTCTTTTGAATTCTAATACACACATTACCTCCAAAAAAAGTCAGTTTTTTCTCTTTCTTTCCAGTTCTCATTATTGGCTAAGACTTCCAGCACAATATTATACAAGTGGGGCTAGTAGATGCCTTGTTTTGTTGCTAATCTCAGAATACTTTCAATATTTCACCATTAAATACGATGTTAGCTGTAGGTTTTCTGTCGGTACTCTTTGTGAGTTTAGGGAAGTTTTGTTTTATTTCTAGCTTATTTTCTTTTCATTTAGTAAAAGATGGGGAATTTTATCAATTGCCTTTTCTATATCTATTGAGATGATTACATAATTTTCTCTTTTCTTGTATTAATAGGGTGATATACAATAATTTATTTCTTATGTAAAATCAAACTTGCTCTCCTGGGATCAGCAAATGAAGCATTATCTTAACACACACACACACACACACACACACACACACACACACTTCTGTATTATGTTATTTCTGCATGGTATTGTCATATCTATGTACATAAGCAAGATTGATCTGCAATTTATGATTCCATTCTCACATTTTTTTGGGTTTTGTATCAAAGTTAAAGTAGCCTAATAAGGTAAACTAGGGATATTCCCACTTTTCTACATTCCGAAATAATTTGTGTGAGATTTGAATTATTTTTTTCTTGAATATTTGCACTTATTTCTTCCTTATTTGCTGTAAATTGCTAGCAACGCTGACTAGATCTGGCTTTTCTGTGAGAAGATTTTTAACTTCAGATTCAATTTCTTTTATGATTATAAGACCGTACATTTTCTATATCCTCCTAAGTAAATTTTGGTAAGTAAAATTTTTTTAGAGATTTATTTATTTCATATGAGCCTTTATATGTATCACATAAAGTTGTTCATAATACCTTCTTATTATCATTTTAATCTTTGAAGCACCATTGATTTTTTAATTCCTAATATTGTTTACTAGTGAATTCACACCTTTTCAAAATTTATCTTCAGAGATGTATGTCAATTTTATTAGTTCTGTCAAAGAGTCTTGATATATTTTTTACTCTGACATTTTTTCAGGAAATTTTTCTACTTTCTTATAAAACCATTTCATCTGTCAAGCAATGGTATATTTGAGATTTGGTATCATACTGGACACTGAAAAATTAATTTTTCTCTTACAAGTACTTTCAACATTTCTTAAGTAAAAATTTGGGTTGAACCCCAGTAGGAAAAATGATTATGAAACCAGTTTAATTGAAGATTTAGGATATTAAATGTTCCCTTGTACAGTTTTAGGAGACTGGATGCTCATACAAACCTGTTTGTACGTTACCTCCATAAGCTTTTGCAGACAGGTCTTAACAGGTTGGCTTCCAAATCCTAAGCAACCAACCAGTACAAAACACAGCAACCATCAGAAAAGAACAAACAGAACGCCGGCTGCTTCAGACCAAGGGGCAAAAATGAAGGATGGGGATTAGGTCTGAAGGTCATAGAATCTATGTTTCTAACCTTATTTTATATTGCACTCCCCACTTCCCCTCTGCTAGCTAAATTGAATCATATATTGCTATTCAGGCAAGACCTGTGCTTGCTTGCTTTCTTTCCTCTGCCTGGAATTATTTTCTTATACCTCCCTTGATCAAAACATATCTGTTTTAAAAATGTATAATGGATACCTATTAGGATTTCTGCTTAGCCTATGCCCCTCCTTCTGTGGGAACCACCTTTCACTCTCTGCTCATAGTAAAGGCTTCTGCTGGTTTGCTTGTTATACACAACCCCTCTATCCTTACCAGGGAAAATCTAACCAAAATTGACACCTGACCGAAGTTGATGCTCTCAGAACCTCTCTTCTGGTAACTGGAACTGGGACTCAGAAATTTGGTGAGTCTCTGATGGTTCCCCTCTGACCTAGATGATGTTGGCTTTGAAGTTGAGGATGCCATTCTGCAGCAATTATGTTTGGCCCATGTGGACTCAGAAGCTGAGAAAGCCATTAAGTAAATAGAAGTCAAAGGAGATGCACATAAAAAAGCAAAGGCCATATATCTTGTGACTCTGAAGGGCTATATATAGTAACCTTTGTTCCATTTGGCACCGGATTCCTGATCCCAGTCCCTCATTAGGCTCAGGTGTACCTTCTACATTTAAGTTTCAAGAACTACCCTGATAGCCTTAAATTAAAAGCCCCCTTCCACACACACACTTTTTAAAGTTTTATTTTAGGTTCAGGGGTACATGTGTAGGTTTTTTATATAGGTAAATTGCATGTCACAAGGGTTTGATGTGCAGATTATTTCTTCACCCAGGTAGTAAGCATAGTACCCAAGAGGTCGTTTTTCGATCCTCTTCCTCCTCCCTTTCTCCACCCTCAAGGAGGGCCCAGTGTCTGTTGTTTCTTTCTTTGTGTCCATGTATACTCAGTGTTTACCCCCCATTTATAAGTGAGAACATGGGGTATTTGGTTTTCTGTTCCCGTTAGTTCACTTAGGATAATAGCCTCCAGCACCATCCATGTTGTTGCAAAGGACATGACCTTGTTCTTTTTCATGGCTGTGTAGTATCCATGGTGTATATGTACCACATTTTCTTTATCCATTTGATGGGCATTTAGGTTGGTCCCATGTCTTTGCTATTGTTAATAGTGCTGCAGTGAGCATACACATGCATGTGTCTTTATGATAAAATTATTTCTATTTCTTTGGATATATAACCAATGATGGGATTCCTGGGTTGGATGGTATTTCTGTTTTAAGTTCTTTGAGAAATCACTACATTGTTTTCCACAGAGGCTGAACTAATTTCCATTCCCACCAGCGGTGTTAAGTGTTCCCTTTTCTGTGCAACCTTGACAGCATGTTATTTTTTGATTTTTTAATAGTAGCCATTTTGACTGGTGTGAGATGGTAGCTCATTGTGGCTTTAATTTGGATTTCTCTAATGATTAGTGATGTGAAGCATTTTGTCATATGCTTGCTAGGCACGTGTATGTCTTCTTGAACAGTGCCTGTTCATGTCCTTTGCTCATTTTTTAATGGAGTTTGTTAATTTCTGGTCGATTTGTTTAAATTCCTTATAGATTCTGGCTATTAGACCTTTGTTGGATGCATAGCTTGCAAATATTTTCTCCCTTTCTGTAGGTTGTCTGTTTACTCTGTTAATAGTTTGTTTTTCTGTGCAGAAGCTCTTTAATTTAATTAGGTCTCATTTGACAATATTTGGTTTTGTTGCAATTGAAAAATCCCCTTTTTTCCTTATGAAAGTAAGGTAAAATTGTTTCTTGCAACAAGAAGAAATTTGACTAAGACACTTCCTCCATGAAGCCATTCTTTACTCTTCCTGTTGAAAGAAAACCTTTCCGTAGTTACCAACTTTATTCTGCCATTCACTTACAATTGATGGTATTTATTTAAAAATGCTTATATATGGTTGTCTTTTATTTTTTTCAAATTTAGACATTACACACTGCCTTCCTGCAAAGGAAGATGAGAATTTACCTGTGTTATTGTCCTTCCCTCTTCACTTTTTCCACCTCCTACTTCGGATGTGTATTAATTTTGGTTAGATCATTGCTCAATATTTACATTTTAATGTATATGTAAATATTGTAACAGCTGAATCATATTCTGGTATGTAATTACTTTTTCTTTATTTTTTTTCTGTGAGGTTCATAATTGTCTTTTTGGGGGCTTAGTTTTCTATGCACCTATTATTAATTCAATCACACATTTTCTCTGAGTGAACTTTAAAACTCTTCTAAATATGGCAAACATATCAACTGCTCTGTAGGTTCATCTTTTCTCTTGGTGATGTTTTTTATTCTTTCTTTTTTTTTGAGACAGAGTTTCGCTCTTGTTGCCCAGGCTGAAGTGCAATGGCCCAATTTCGGCTCACTGCAACCTCCGCCTCCTGGGTTCCTGGGAGATTCTCCTGCCTCAGCCTCCCAAGTAGCTGGGATTACAAGCATGTGACACCAGGCCCGGCTAATTTTTTGTATTTATTAGAGACAAGGTCTTACCATGTTAGTCAGGCTGGTCTCGAACTCCTGACCTCAGGTGATCCACCCGCCTCGGCCTCCCGAAGTGCTGGGATTACAGGCGTGAGCCACTGCGCCAGGCTTGGTGATGTTTCTTTAAAGCCTCCTTTTCTTCCTCTTCCAATGTGCATCTCTTGCCATCCACACAATTCTTCAGAAACTTTCTTTTACACCATCCTGAACTTCCATTCATCTTTCTCCTATGCAATTCCTGTGTTTCCTAGATCTTATCTCTTCTTCATTCTTGCTTTTCTCTCTCATGGTTTGGAGAATACTCTCTTTAACCACATGTTCTAACATTTCATGGTATATCCCTGAATATAGATCTATTTTTGATCCATTGTTCAGGATAAGTCTTTTCAGTTTGACTTTTGGAAATTTTCTTATTTCTTTGATAGTGTCTTTCCTCTCTCCTTTTTCTCTATTCTCTCATTATGACATTTGTAGTCATTGAAGTTTGGATTTTATGGATTGATCCCCTAATTCTCTTTTCTCTCTATTTACTACCTCTTCATCTTTTTAAATTTGTCTTTTTTAGAAGATAATCATCTTTGGCCAGGTGTGGTGGCTCACGCCTGTAATCCCAACACTTTGGGAGGCCGAGACGGGTGGATCAACTGAGGTCAGGAGTTCGAGACCAGCCTGCCTAACATGGTCAAACCCCATCCCTACTGAAAATACAAAAAGTTAGCCAGGTGTGGTGGCGGGCGCCTCTAATCCCAGCTACTCAGGAGGCTGAGGCAGGAGAATCGCTTGAACCTGGGAGGTGGAGGTTGCAGTGTGCCAAGATCATGCCACTGCACTCCAGCCTGGGTGACACAGTGAGACTCCGTCTCAATAATAATAATAATAATAATAATCTTTATACTGCAAGTCTCCTGTTGAGATTTTTAAAACTTCTCTTCATCTTTTTGGAATTTCTATGGCTTCTTTTTTATGTGTTGAGTGCTTCTTTTTATAGGATCTTTTTCTTATTTGATGGATTAATAGTTTCTCTTAAATCTTTAGTCATATTAATTATAGTTGGGTTCTTGTGTATAGATGTGAAGTACAGTGTAGAGTTTTTGTGTATAATTGTTCATAGTAGAGATTTCCGTCAAATATTAGATGATCCTATACATATTTAGGAAAAACGTGCTAAAAAGCTGATTGATAATTTGAAGTTCTGTATGAGGGTATGGGCTTACTCACTAGTAGAACTTCACTTAGGATGAGTAAGCAAAAGCATGACTGTTTGGGGAGGATACATTCTAATGTATGTGTAAATATTGTAACAGCTGAACCATATGCTATCTTGTGATTACTTTTCCTTTCTCAATTTTCTTTCTGTGAAGTTAATAATTGTCTTTGGGGGGCTTAGTTTTCTATGCACCTATTATTAATTCAGTCACACGTTTTCTCTGACTAAACTGTAAAACTCTTCTAAATACGGCAAACACATCAGCTGCTCCGTAGGTTCATCTTTTCTCTTGGTGATATTTCTTTAAAGCCTCCTTTATTTCCTCTTCCAGTGTGCACCTCTGTCTTATATAATCCTTGAACCAGTTCTTCTGTGTTCAGTCCACCACAACCAGGATGTATGAAGGTTGTGGTATCCCTGGTTACCAAGCTTTGGAGAGATTCTGTAATGCAAATTGGTTTGCTTCTTATTGATGCTTGGATTCGCTTGCTAGGGCTGCCATAACAAAATACCACAGACTGCGTGGCTTATCCAAGACATTTATTTCTCACAGCTCTGGAAGCTAGAAGTCCAAGATCGAGGTGTTGATAGGCTTGATTTCTCCCGAAGCCTCTCTCCTAAGTCTGCAGATGGCCTCCTTCTCACTGTGTTTCCACATGGTCTTTCCTTTGTGTGTGTGCATCTTGGTGTCTCTCTGTGTGTCTAGAATTCCTCTTCTTATAAGGACGCCCGCCAGATTGGATTATGGCCCACCCTAGTGGGATCTTTTTTACTTAATAACTTCCTTTAAGTCCCTGTCTCCAAATACTGTCACATTCTGAGGTATTGGGGGTTAGAGCTTCAATATATACATTTTGAGGGGACACTAATTAGGCCATAGCAATATTCTTCCTTTCTCTTGAAGGTTTATATTTTCTGCTTTCCTTGGCCTAATAATCCAGTCACCATTTGTCCGTTCACTTTTTAAAAAAAATTTTGTGAGTGCTTTATCTGCTAATATTTTGTCTCTTGCTTCTTTGTCCTAGTAGTTTATTATTGTTCATTATTGTGATTATTAGACAGCTTTGGGGAGGCAGAAGATATAACAGCATGTGTTCAAGCTGTTGCATTTAGTGGGAAATAGGCATAATATTTTAAAAAATAAAATAGTTCCAACACACAATGAAGCATAGATAAAAATATGGCCAACACTTAGGTGCCCACCACCCAACTGTATCAAAGTTTAGCATGATTTAGACTTTTTTAAAAAACTGAAACATTATAGATACAGTTGAAGCCCCTCGTTACTGCTATTTTCCTCCCCAGAAGGAACCACTAATCTGAACTTTCATATTTTTAAATTTTTATCTCATTTGTATGAATCTATTTATGTTTTGTATGTTTTAAAATTTATATGAATTATACCTTACAATACACAACTTCTACAATGGATTTTTTTCTTATTCAATATTATATTTTTGAGATTCATTCATTTATTGTAATGGCTACATGATATTCTATTTTTTAATAGTCTCCAGTGGGCTTTAGTTTTGTTCCCCTTGTATTATGTTTTAATTTAAAATATTTTTAGCTTAGTTAAGAACATAGAAATAGGAGAAAGAATAATTTCATCACACCATGGAAAATAGTGAGAAACCAACAGTGCTTTGGAGACCCTGGAACATCATTTAACCCAAGGGGTGAGACAGAATCTTCCTGTGTCTCATTTTGCCCCAAAGTACTCCATGGACAAGCCCCAGAGTAATGACATTACACAGCAGCAGTGAGCTTCCACGTGGTTATTAATGAAACACTCCCAGGGCAGGGCATGGGAGTGAGAGCACACACAAACACCTTGACTACTTTTTCTGCCTATTATCTTGTTTTCACATCCCTTTAAAAAATTGTATAAAGTTTTTATGTTGACATATTTATAGATTCACAAGGAGTTGCAAAGAAATGCTCAGGAAAATCCCTTGGATCCTTCCCTGAGTATTCTCCCCCTCTCCTCACCACAGTGTGAACATCTTATGCATCTAAAGTGTAATATCAAAGCCAAGAAATGAACATTGTTTCAATCCATGAAGTTTATTCAGATTTCATCAGTTATACATGCTTCATCTATGTGTGTTATCTACAGTTCTATGCAATTTCATCACATATAGACTTGAGTAACCCCCACCACAATCGAGACACATAGCTGTACTACAAGATTTCCCCATGTTATTCTTTTATAGCCACACCCACTTCTCCATCCTTCATCCCTAACCCCTGGCAACCACTAATGTGTTCTTCATCTCTTTATGTTATTTCACAGATGTTACATAAATTGAATTATGAACTATGGATCCCTTTAAGATTTTTTTTTTTCCACTCAGCAAAGTTTCTTTAAGGCTCATCCAAGTAGCTTCTGGGTAGTATTCCATGGTATAGTTATACCACAGTTTGTTTAACTGATTACCCTTTGAAGGGCATTTGTATAGTTTCTAGTTTTGGCTGATACAAGTAAAGCTGCTATGAACACTCACACACAAGCTCCTGTGTGAAAGTAAGGCTTTGTTTCTCTGGGATAAATGCCCAACGGTGCAATTTCTAGATTGTATGATAAGTCTTAGCATAGATCAGTACTTCATTCCTTTTTATGGATAAATAATTTTCCATTGTACGGATTTGTCACCTTTTGCTTATCCATTCTTCAGTTGATGGACATTTGAGTTATTTCCACCTCATGAATAATGCTACATGAATATTCACATACAAATTTTTCTAGTGAACATAAGTTTTTATTTTTAGGGGGCTATATACTTAGAAGTAGAATTGTGGGATCAAATGGTAACGCTGTATTTAACTTTCCGAGGGCCACCAAATTGTCCTGCACAACAGCTGCACTATTTTTATTTCCACCAACCAAATCGAGCGTTTCAACTCCCCATTCTTCCCAGCACTCGTTATTGTCTCATTTTTTATTATAGTCATTGCAGTGGATGCAAAGTCGTATCTCATTGTGGTTTTGACTTGCATTTCACTGATGGCTAATAATGTCAAGCATCTTTTCATGTGTTTGTTGGCCTTTTGTATATCTTTTTTTTTTTTTGAGAAATGCCTGTTTAGATCCTTTCCTCATTTTTCGTTTGGGTTACTCTTTTTATTATTGAGTTGTTAGGGTTTTTTAATATATTCAACAAACGAGCCCCTTATCAGATATATGAGTTGCAAATATTCTCTCCCATTCTGTGGGTTGTCTTTCCAGTTTCTGGATGAGGTCCTTTGGAGCTTGAAATGTTCTAATTTTGATTTTCAAAAATTAGTTATTTTTTCTTTGATTGTTTGTACCAAATCTAAGGTCATGAAGATTTATACCTATGTTCTCTTCTGAGAGTTTTGTAGTTTTGGCTTTTATGCATAAGTCTTTTTTCCATCGTAAGTGTTTTTTTTTTGTTTTTTTTTTTTTTTGAGACAAAGGCTCTTTCTGTTGCCCAGGCTTAATGTAGTAGCATAGTCATGGCTTTCTACAACTAAACCTCAGGTTCAAGCGATCTTCCCACCTCAGCCTCCCAAGTAGCTGGGACTACTGGTACCCTGCCTGGCTAATTTTTTAATTTTCATTTTTGTAGAGACAAGGTCTCACTATGTTGCCTAGGTTGGTCTCAAACTCCTGGGCTCAAGCAATCCTCCCGCTTTGGCCTCCCAAAGTGTTGGGATTACAGGCGTGAGCCATTGTGCCTAGCTGTCAGTTAATTTTTTATATGGTAAAAAATAATGGTCTATTTCATTTTTTTTGGCATGTAGCTATCCAGGTGTCTCAGCACTATTTATTAAAAAGACAATACTTTCTCTATTGAATCTTCCTGGCATCCTTGTTGAAAATCGATTGACCACAGATAAATGGATTTATTTCTGGACTCTCAATTATTTTGTTTGTCTATGTACCTGTCATTATGCTGGTGCTATACTGTCCTGATTAATATTGCTTTATAGTAAGTTTTGAAATATGGAATTGTAAGTGCTCCAATTTTGTTAATCTCTTTCAAGATTGTTTTGGCTATTTTGGGTCCTTTGGATTTCATATGAATTTTAGGATTGGATTGTCAATTTCTGCAAAGAAGCCAGGTAGAATTCTGATAGAGATTGTGTTGAATCTATACATCAATTTAGAAAGTTCCTTATCTTGCTCTTTCATTTCCTCTATGAAATGCCTCTTGTTTGGAGTGATATTTATGTATCCTTTCATAAGATATTTTGGAATAAAATAGGAAAAAATAAAGTTTTGTTACTTTAAATGCAAAACCTTCATACAAAGGGGAAAACTATGGAAATAGAAAAATACATATTTCTTAAAAATCTCATTTATTAAATTAAAAGGAATTTGTTGCATGATATTTTTCCAGAATCCTCTTTTTTCCTACGGATGAGGACATTTGAAGTAGAGAGCACAGAATCTGAAATAAAGAAATTGCCATATTTAATACATGCAAATCCTTTCAACGGGTGGGGTGGAGAAGAAAAGCCCTACATAGGGAAGAAGCATATATAGTTTATAATTAAGTTTGTATTTTGAATGAAGATGAAATAAGCATTTTAAGTTTTCTTTCCACTGGAGTGGAATGCAAGAAATTTTATGAAGCTTGGCAAAAAATAATTTTCAAGAGGTATTATTGTCATTTACACTTTAGTATCATTGATAATAGAGCAATAATGCCATTATTTACATAACCTTCTTACAGCTTACAAACTATGTTCATATACATTATATCTCTTTACCATCTATTTAAAATTAATTTTATTTCACTACAACAAATGGGCCCTTTTGTGGCTAAGTTACTACATTTCTGTAAGTGTGTGTTTTGGAGCAATGATCTTTTGTTTGACCTCTGGGTTTTTTGTTTTTCTTTATTTCAGACAGGGTCTAGCTCTGTCACTCAGGCTGGAGTGCAGTGGCATGATCACAGCTCACTGCAGCCTCTGCCTTCCAGGCTCAAGAGATCCTCCTGCCTCAGCCTCCGAAGAAGCTAGGACTATAGTCACATGCCACCAAGCCTGGCTAATTTTTGTAAATATATATATATTTGTATATATATTTTTTTGTAAATATATATATATCTATTTGTATATATATATTTTTGTAAATATATATATATACATATATTTAGAGACAGAATCTCACTGTGTTGCCCAGGCTGGTCCCAAACTCCTGGGTTCAAGCAACCTGCCCACCTCCGCCTCCCAAAGTACTAGGATTGCAGGTGTGAACCACTTCGTCTGGCCAATATATGTACTTTTTAATGAGCACATTAAATAAATAAAATCTAGAAATAGATTTCATAACATCTATGATTTGGGGGTAGAAAACATCTATGATTTGGGGGTAGAAAAATTCAAATAATATTTTAATATACCTACCAAAAATTGATATAATATGAAAATGTTTATTTTTTTGATTGGTAAAAATGACACAAATTTGTTGCCTACATTCATAATAGAAAGACATGTTAATGTTTCATTAACCTCTAAATTAGAGGTTAATGAAAATAATATATATTTTTCTATATATATATAATATATAGAGGTTAATGAAAATAATAATGTATTTTTTTCCTGTCCAAGTTAATAAGCTACTGAATTACATACATGGCCCTTTGAAGAGGAAAGAGGACTAGGAAGAGAAGTTTAATTTTTTATAAATAAAATTCAAGAAAACCTTAACTTGTCACTGCATTGCTTTGTGTGTGTGTGCGTGCGCACATGCTTAAGAATGAGCTTTGAGATTTAGTTCATACTCACAAGGATGATTTGCACAGACATAGGAGAAACTCAAATTGCTCTGCTTGATCTCAAGCCACGTGTGCAATCATGAAACTGAGATTCTGGGAGAGATATTGTAATATTAAGAGCCACTAGGATGATTGGTTTTCTCAACCAATTTGTGATGTCATTTTTGTCAACCACCTAGTTATGTCACCTGTTACAAAGACAAAAGAGATGAGTGCAAGACTAGAAAGTTATCTGTAAGCATGTCTCATATTATTGGTTAAAACACACTTTTCAAATATTTGCCAATTTCTTAGACCTCCTTTTTAGTGCAGATAACTTCTACACTAAATAAATATTATTTATTTACTAACACAACACCTAGTATTACCTGAGGATTTCACAATCCAAATTCAAGTTTGAAGTCAGAATAACTTTGAGTGTGGGTAAAGAAAAATGGAACGAAAGAGTAGTAGGCAAGAAACAAAAGAATACAAAAATAAGTTCAAACATTTTCCAAGTGCCCTTTATAGGCAACACTCTCAAAAGATATAGAAAATATTGAAATTTGAAATAGTTCACATTTTCCAGGCAAAACTTTAATTCAAATCAGAATATACTTACAAACAAGCAAAAAAAATATAGCTGAAGAAATGTAATTTTGTTGTATTAAGCCCCGCTGCAATTAAGTGTTATTGAAAACATTATAAGGAACATCTCTGCAGGGTCAGAATAAGCAGCTATAGGTGTCATTAACAAAGAAATAAAATCATGCTTTGTTTTTATCTCTTTTGCCTCCTGCATGAATACATTAATTAATTAACAAAGTACTTCTGAGAATGTAACTTAAGAGGAGCAGAGGGTAGGGTTTTGGCCAAACATGTCAACTCCTGCAGTTTGTCCTTTGACTTTTATAATTTCACTCCTTTGGATTCTAAAGTTACTTTTTTATTGCTTTATCATTTTTCTAGATTTTTAAGTACCTCTCAGAAGCATTAAATTTGAGTATCTATCATGACTTATTATGTAACCACTAGAGGATTAATTGCTAGAGATCTGAGAGTGAGATTCTAGGACCATGAGATTGCAGAGAACGTTTGATAGGAAAGATCCAGAATGTACATTCAGGTGGCTTGGATAAAAATCTTGGCTGCACTCCTTTCATTGAGCATTGGCTTTCTAGTCTTTGAAAGGAGGTTGATTATAATGTCTTTCTTGTCTATGTCATGAGGATTTGTATAAAATGACACTGCAATTAACACATGCTACTTTGTTACTTGGTGCTTTTCCAGAGGTCAGAGTCAGGAAGGTAAAGAAAGAATAAAGTAAAAAATAATGTTAGTTTCTGACTGTTTTGCCCAAGACTTGCTCGCAGGGCTTATTTTGAGCTCAAAAGTGCAAGATAAATTTAAAATGTGGTTTCTGTATGAAATTTTACTGGAAGGAGAGCTGTCTTTAATTTATCCATCAATCCATCCATCCATCTAACCAACAATTCCACAAATAATTACCCAGCACCTATTCCCTGCCAGTTGAGGAAAGAACAGAGACTGATTAAAAACCTACCATCCATCCAGCAACTCACAGTCTAATTTTGGGAGTCCCGCAGTTATAGATTATATTATCTTCATTCATTGAATTTTCTTCTATTTCACATTTTCAATCTACTGTTTACCATAATTTACAGGCTCCTAATTGAAGATGACTTTCTCTCTTGAAAAACCTAAGGTCTCCTCAGACCATAAGAGATATAATTTTTATGAAAGAACCTATAAAATTATCTGACAAATTCTAAATTCTGAACAGGCATTCAGCCATGCATGCATGTATTTATCATTTATTTCTTTGGTGTGAGTGGCATGAAAACAGCACAAGTATATGACATTTGAGGATGTATGGCCATGTGGTCAGAGCCATGAAGATCACTGGAAAACAGTTTCTAAAAATCAGTTGATACCTTTCATTTCAATGTATCTTAAAGTGCTTACACAAAAGTTATAGTAAGTTTATTTTCAAAAACTATTTTAGGCTGGGTGCAGTGGCTCACACCTGTAATCCCAGCACTCTGGGAGGCCAAGGTGGGTGGATCACGGAGTCAGGAGTTCGAGACCAGCTTGGCCAACATGGTGAAACCCCGTCTCTATTGAAAATACAAAAATTAGCTGGGCGTGGTGGTGCACACCTGGATTCCCAGCTACTCAGGAGGCTGAGGCAGGAGAATCGCTTGAACCCAGGAGGTGGAGGTCACAGTAAGCCAAGATTACGCCACTGCACTCCAGCCTGGGCAACAGGTCAAGACTCCGTCTCAAAAATAATTATTTTAATTACAAAAAATTTCAAATGAATGCTACACACTGATCTTAGATGGCTGTTTCAAAACACTATGTGTAAACCTAATACATCACAATTTTATGCAGTTTGAAGAACCTTATTTTGGTGTTTTCTTCTTTCACTTCACATTCTCTTCACCTAGTCTCAAGCTTCATTTGAGATAGTAAGACAAAAATTTTATAAAGCAACATAATTAGTGGAATGTTTTTTGTCTGCCTTTTTGCATAGTGAGAAATATTAGAAAAAGAACTATAGGAGGAATGAGAAAATTTCTGTGAACTTGCTCAAGTCATTTAACCCCTCCGAATATCTGTAGAAATGGCAGTAAGCGTAATTTGCCTGCTTACTCCTTGAGATTGTTGTGAAGATCAAATAAAATCATACATGAGAAGTTTATGGGTTTTGTTTGTGCTTTTTTTTTTTGGGGGGGGGGGTACCAAATAAGTGTTAATGAAGTGTAAGATATTGTTATTTTATGATTAGTTGGCTTGGTGTCATATATGCTTCTTAGTCTGCTATTTTGTTCGATGTGTATCTTCCTCACTGTGCCCCTTTTAGAAGCTGCTCCATGGAATAGAAATCGATTTTTTAGTAATCATTATATCTAACTGTCTAATGAAGGTGTAGTATCATGTATTCTGGAAACTCTCCCCATCATGCCAAAAACAGAGAATAACCTTGCTATAAAGAGTGTCACTATTCACAGATTACCCGAAGATCCAATCCTGCCTCCTGTGCACAAGATGACTTATAGTGCATGCTATAATGAGAGGTTATAATGCTGCAATCAGGGAACAGAGATCCCACTTGCATTACAGAACAGGCCATACATAACTCTGTTCACTCTATGCACCATCTTCCTTTAATGGTCTGAATAATGTAGTAGCAGAACAGCAACAGAAAGTAATTTGGGAAATAAAACCAACCTGTTATTAAGGGATGCATAACACTGATAGTTGCCAAAGTATTCTTTATTCTCATTATATCTTTCTGAGACAGCCAGGTGAAAGGGGGTCCCTGGAAAAACTCCAACAAGCCTGCCCACTGAGGTGGAGCCTCGGGAGGTTCGCACCCTTTGCAGCGGGGAAGAGCCTGGCCCCGCCTCTTCCTGTGTGGAACCTGGTATTCCAATGGCGGGGGGAAGGGCTCTAGCAGGGGACTCTGGCCTTAAGGCCGTGTTCACCCCCCCCTTCCCCGCCTTTTCACCCCATAAAACCCAGCCTTACTTACCCTTTAAACCTTCTGTGAGTCCACATTATTTATTTTTTAGTATACTTTAAGTTCTAGGGTACATGGGCACAAAGTGCAGGTTTGTTACATAGGTATACATGTGCCATGTTGCTTTGCTGCACCCATCAACTCATTATTTACATTAGCTATTTCTCCTAATGCTGTCTGTCCCCCATCCCCCTACCCCACGACAGGCCCCAGTGTGTGATGGTTCCCCACCCCGTGTCCCAGTGTTCTCATTGTTTAGTTCCCACCTATGAGTGAGAACATGCGGTGTTTGGTTTTCTGTCCTTGTGGTAGTTTGCTGAGAACGATGGTTTCGAGCCTAAATCTTTATGGCCACGGGACAGACAAGAACCCAGTCTTTAGCTAAACTAAGGAAAAGTCCTGCAACATTTCTGTAAAAGAAATTAACAGCAATACCTGATATATGAATGCTATGTTGCAATTTATAAAGGGTTTTAATGAAATATACTTTAATTCTCATGACATATTAATAAAATAGAAGGGCAGAGTCTCATTTTAATTTTATAGAAAGAAATTAGATTTTTAAAAATAGGCTAAAAAACTTGTTCAAGATTATATACCTTGTTAGTAATAGTTGTGAATCAAACTCAGGGCTTTGATTCAGTGATTTTATTTTCCCTCAGCAAACATGCTTTAAAAGCATACACGACATTGCAAATATCCTGGATATCCATTAACTATACATCTGAGAGTTCTTCTGGTTTGAAATAGAGGAGATTCTAGAGTCTCTCCACCAATGGTATAACAAACACACACAATCTTGAGCAAATGAAAAAGAAAGAAACCAGAATGCCACACAAAGTAAAAACATCCACATATTTATTAAAACACATTCAGTCAAAAGTCAAGACTCCTGTCATTGGATGTATATCAGTTCATTGGGTAAAGTATCGAAATTGTATACATCTTTTCAGTTATTGTTTATTCCTGTTATGCAGGTGGTACAAAATGTACTCATTTTATTTTTACAGGGAAAGTTGCAGAAGATTTGCTTTGACCTCAAAGTACATTCTTTGTTTCCCTGGTGATAAAGACCTCAGTCATAGGACAACTGGGTAAACTGAAGTAGCCAATTCTGCAAAGGAAGGTGGACTTTGCTTTCCAGTTCAGGATCTTTTATTACTGGTACTATTAAGGCAATCTTGGCAAAGTCTCATTCATATTTATTTATGAACTGTGTTCTTGGCTAGATAAGAGGGTACACTGTCACAAGGCAAGGCAGCAGCACTCCTTTTATGACATCAGAGAGGTCTTTGCCAATGGCTCTGTTGCATGCTTACGTAATGTAAAATAGTAGGCACATAGTTGAATGAAGGCTCAGGCGGAGAGGATCACTTTTCAAAGATTGTAAAAGAAGTTACGTGGATAGTGTGTGTTATGCAGCAAGGTACATTGTCCTTATTTTCATATTATGCTGTATCCAAATGGCATAAGTAAAATGGAGCTTTGGCAATTATATAGCTAATGTGATCGATGTTAATGGACAATCTGGTTAATTTGGCTTTTAAAAGTAGATTTTAGCAAGAAGTGAAATGTCAAGAGAGCACTTAAATGAATTTCCTTCGATTTTTAAGTTAAATTGCAGTCGCTGACTTTATTTTCCAATTATCATATGATGTTTCAATAGTATTGTTCCAATAATAACACTTTGTTCTTAAAGAGTCCCTTGCAGTCAATTAATTCAAAGTACATTCGGGTGTATATACAGGTTATCAGTTGACATCCAGCTTTATGAAACATATGTGAGCTGCAAGCAATTGGTAACTGCTACTTTCAAGCATTGGTAACTGCTACTTTCACTGTCCTTATTCTTCTCTGCACTGTACTCACAGTGCTTTCTAATATCCTTGGGCAATTATATATATTATATATATAAAATATATACACACATGCATACATATGATATATAATTCTTCATACATTTAGAGAGATACAGTTTTAATACTCCTTAATTTGAAAGTATTAAGCTAGGCCTTCTTTCATTGTTGGACTGCATTGCTTATTTTTCTCAAAATGTCAATTCACACATTTAAATGAATATTTATTAGCCACATGTTAATTTTATGCAGAGAACTAGGTTTTAGGTTCACTCATATGAAACTGCCAATGTATAAACACTTTTGACCTATAAATCTTCTATTTTGTGAAAAGGAAGATTAGATAGCAGCTACTTTGTATTGTGTGACTTAAATCTCCCTATCTTTTTTTTTTTAAGATTCCACATTTAAGTGAGATCATGTGATCTTTTTCTTTCTGTCTGTGGCTGATTTCACTTAGAATAATGCACTCCAACTTCATTCATATGGTGATTGGCAGGTGGTAGGTTCTCCTCCATTTTTAAAGCTGAATCATATTCCACTGTGTATATGTATATCATATTTTTCAAGGCTGAATAATATTCCATTGTGTTTATGTATATATCACATTTTCTTTGTCTATTTTTCCATCGATGGCCACTTAGGTTGTTTTCATACATTGACTACTGTGATTGAATGTACAACACGAGGACTATAGTTAATAAAATTGTATTGTATTAAGAACTTTTAAAAATAAGTAGATTTTAGCTGCTCTTGTCACAAAAAAGTAACTATGTGAGATGATAAAATATGTTAATTTGCTTCACTATAGTAACTATTTTACAATCTATATGTATCCCACAACATCATGTTGTGAAACTGAAATGCACACAATAATACTTGTTTTAAAAAATAAAGGAAGGCTAAGATGAAGAAGAAATACTTTTTTGGAGGAAGTGAAATTTAGAATTTGGCATGATTTAGCATTACATTTCAAGGAAGATTCAGTAGGGAGACTCTTTCAGAACATAAATGGAATGTACAAGAGTATAGAGGTAGGAAAAATACAAAGTGTTCAGAAATTTGCAAGTTGTTAAGTTGGCCTGATGCCTGTGTGGTGTGGGCTACAAACCTGAAAGAAAGCATCAGGGTAGATGATGTAGGGCAGAAGTGACAGCTGGTTAAGGAGTCTGAGTTTTTTCTACCGAGCCATGTGAATTCATGGAGGGTTTCTGAAAAAGGGAGCTCAATGATGGAGGCAATGCTCAGAATAGACCAAAGGTGGAAGATTACAGAGAAGGGAACCAGGCAGAAGGCGGTGGGGGCTCAGATGAGAGCTGACAAGATTGGGGGACATGAGTCCTGTGAGAGGAGCACTGTTAGGCATGGATTACACAGCATGAAGAACAACTCTTCATGTGACTCTACATGTTAAGAATGATGCCTGGGAAAATTGTGCTGTTTCATAGATGAGTATGACAAAAGGAGAAGCTGCTTTAAGAAAATACTGAGTTCAATGAGATGCAGGCAAATACATCCACAAGGAAGTATAGCTCAGAGATGATAAGTTAGCCCATGCCAGTGGCTGTCAGCAAACCAAGGGAGTAAATATTCAAATGAAAAAGTATGCCATGGTCAGAAATCTGGACAATAACAACTTTTCAGGGTGAACGGAGGGTAAAGGATATGGAAGGGCTAGAAGATTCAGAAGACCACAAGGGACACTTCCATTTCTGAGACTAAAGCAAACCGGTAGGTTGGGACCAACCCCTCACAGAACTAAGCATTCTGTGTCAAATATAAATACCTTTCATAACTAAAAATTCTGGATCAAATAATTTTAAAAACTTAAAGACATCAAAGAACTGATAAGAGAGTATGGAATTATGAAGCCTGTGAAGAAAATGGGGACCCAGAGATGCAGTGCCATTGTCTCCCACAGCCTTTGTCAGTTTCTGCAACTGTGAACTTTGATTTTAACATCAAGTCCCAGGGCATGCCGAAATGGGAGAGTTAAAAAGGATCCCTCCCACATTAAGCTGAGATTCCAAATAGCCACACTATTATGATAAGGATGAGAAGAGGTGGACTCATCACCCACACCACCCAAAATAACCCAGGTGACTGTATTTGTGCTAAGCAAAGAAGGGAAATAAAATCTTTCCCGTAGAATCTGTATTTGTAAACTAGTCATTGTGAAGGTGTGCAGTCCTATTCACATCACCTAAGTAGTTCCAAAAATATTAAGCCATGAATGTAGTTTAATTTTAGTCTAAATTGGTCATAGGCTGGTAATGCCTCTAGCTTCTGTCATTAATATAAATACAAATGATTTCTGAAAGAAGGTATCTATTTGAGGCCTCAAAGATTCTCCACAAATAATGTTTCAAGGACAATTTCCAGCACACAGTCAAAAATGACAAAACACACAAGAAAACAAGCTACCATGAGTGAGAAGTGGCAGAAATAAAGCCATAAGACAACATAGATAAGAATTGTCAGCAAATATTTTTAAATAATTATATTCTATAAGTTTAACGAAGGAAAAGCTTGAAAATATCTGCAAATAGGAAACTGTAAAAAATTACACAGCCAATTTTTAAAATGGTCAAATATAACTTTTAGGAATAGAAACTATAATAACGATTAACTAAATGCACAGACTCTTGAAACTCATTAATAAGAAAATGAACAACCCAGTTAAAAAGTAAGCAGATTCAAAGCACTAAAAACACCAAATACTGGTGAGGATGTGAAGCAACAGGAATTCCATTTACTTCTTCTGTGAAGGAAAATTGGTATAGCCACTTGAATTAGAAGTGGAGCCTGAAGATATGACTGAATTGCTCAATCTCATGGTAAAATTTAACGAATGAAGAGTTGCTTCTTGTGGATGAACAGAGAGAGTGGTTTCTTAAAATGGAATGTAATCCTAGTGAGGATACAGTGAGCATTGTTTACATGACAAAATATTTAGAATATTGTATAGATTTAGGTTGATAAAGGAGCAACAGTGTTTGAGAAGATTGACTCCAATTTTGAAAGAGTTCTACTGCGAGTCAAATGCTATCAAACAGCATCACCTGCTACAGAGAAGCCTTCATGAAAGAAAGAGTCAATGGATGAGACAAATTTCACTGTTGTCGTATTTTTTTTTTTTTTTTTTTTTGAGACGGAGTCTCGCTCTGTCGCCCAGGCTGGAGTGCAGTGGCGGGATCTCGGCTCACTGCAAGCTCCGCCTCCTGGGTTCACGCCATTCTCCTGCCTCAGCCTCCCAAGTAGCTGGGACTACAGGCGCCCGCCACTACGCCCGGCTAATTTTTTGTATTTTTAGTAGAGACGGGGTTTCACCGTTTTAGCCAGGATGGTCTCGATCTCCTGACCTCGTGATCCGCCCGCCTCGGCCTCCCAAAGTGCTGGGATTACAGGCGTGAGCCACCGCGCCCGGCCTGTTGTCGTATTTTAAGAAATTGCCACAGCCACTGCAACCTTCAGCAAACAACCACCTTGATCAGTTTCCAGCCATCAACATTGAGGTAAGACCTTCCACCAGCAAAACAACTACAACTTACTGAAGGCTCAGATGATCATTAGCACTTTTTAGCAATAAAATATTTTTAAATTAAAATATGTACATTTTTAGATATAATACACTTTACAGAATTAATAGACTAAGTATGGTGTAAACATAACTTTTATATACATTAGGAAACCAAAATATTTGTGTGACTCTCTTTATTGTGATATTGCTTTATTATATTTTTAAAATTTTAAATTAGTTTTAAAATTTGTAATTGACACATTATTATACATATTTATAGGGTGCAATGTGATGTTTCAGTTCATTTATACATTATATGATGATCAAATCAGAGTAATTACCATATCCATCACTTTAAACACTTACCATTTCTTTGTGGTGATTACGGTCAAAATAATTGTTCTGGCTCTTAAAATATATATAGTCACCCTTATGTGTAAGAGAACACCAGAACTTATTCTTCCTGTCTAACTATAACTTTGTACTCATTGACCAACCTTTCCTGGTCCTGCCCTCACCTCTTCCCTCTCCAGCCTCTGGTAACCACTATTCTACTGTCTACTTCTATGAAATCAACTTTTTTAGATTCCACATATGAGTGAAATCACACAGTATCTTTCTGTGACTTGCTATTTTACTTAACATAATGTTCCTCAGGTTTATCAGTTGCCACAAATGACAGAATTTCATTATGTTTTATGAAATGATATTTTATTGGAGATACATATATCATATTTTCTTTATCCATTCATCTGTACATGGCCATTTAGATTGATTGCATATATTGGCTATTGTGAATAATACTAGGATAAACATGGGAGCAGATATCTCTTTGACATACTGATTTCATTTCCTTTGTATATATAGCCAGTAATGAAACCACTAGATCATATGGTAGTTCTATTTTTAATTTGAGAAACTTCCATACTGTTTTTCATTATTGCTCATTGAGAATGAAAGCATTTTAACAGCTGGTCTGTGATCCATTCACTTTCTTTGAGGGTGGTGGGAGGAATTACCTTGGAGGGGGGAATAAAAAGGCAGATCAACCCAGTCTAATCTCTGCTACCTGGAACTCCAGGTAAATAGACTAATATTTGCTAAAAGGAAAGATTCTTATCTAATGATATGAATTAGTGATGTATGGCAGGACGTCCTTGCTAAGTATTACTTAGTAAATGAGCCCAGAATTTACAGATTTATGACACATGATTCCCTAAAGAAGATCACATGTTACAGAACTCTCTGGAGTGTACCGTGGAGACGTTTATAACTTAAGCACTTTTCCTGCTATGTGAGGTAAACCTGAAAAGCCTTATCTAAAACCTCTGTTATTATTATCACAGAATACATGTCTGATGTGGGGAAAAGGACCCCTTTGATGTCCCAAACTTTGCTGTGTCCCATGCCTCTTGACTGACCATGACCTGAAATTTTTAATAAGGCTTGTTACTGTATGAGAACTCTCTGAGTGAGCCTGATTTGACAGCCTGATCTTGTGTGTTAGCCCACACATGAAATCAATAAAAAGAGTTTTAATTAAATGGTACTCAAAACAGATATATAGACCAATGGAACATAACGGAGGCCTCAGAAATAACACCACACATCTTCCACCATCTGATATTTCACAAACCTGACACACACAAGCAATGGGGAAAATATTCCCTATTTAATAAATGGTGTTGGGAAAACTGGCTAGCCATATGCAGAAAACTGAAACTGGACCCCTTCCTTACACCTTATACAAAAATCAACTCAAGATGGATAAAAGACTTAAACATAAGACCTAGGACCATAAAAATCCTAGAAGAAAACCTGGGCAATATCATTCAGGACATAGGCATGATCAAAGACTTCATGTCTAAAACACCAAAAGCAACGGCAACAAAAGCCAAAATAGACAAATGGGATCTAATTAAACTAAAGAGCTTCTGCACAGCAAAAGGAACTATCATCAGAGCGAACAGGCAACCTACATAATGGGAGACTATTTTTGCAATCTATCCATCTGACAAAGGGCTAATATCCAGAATCTACGAAGAACTTAAACAAATTTACAAGAAAAAAGCAAACAACCTCATCAAAAAATGGTCAAATGATATGAACACACTTCTCAAAAGAAGACATTTATGCAGCCATCAGACCTATGAAAAAACGCTTATCATCACTGGTCATTAGAGAAATGCAAATCAAAACTACAATGAGATACCATCTCACGCCAGTTAGAATGGCGATCATTAAAGTCAGGAAACAACAGATGCTGGAGAGGTTGTGGAAAAATAGGAACGCTTTTACATTGTTGGTGGGACTGTAAATTAGTTCAACCATTGTGGAAGACAGTGTGGCGATTCCTCAAGGATCTAGAACTAGAAATATCATTTGACCCAGCAATCCCATTACTGGGCATATATCCAGAGGATTATAAATCATTCTACTATAAAGACACATGCACATGTATGTTTATTGCGGCACTATTCACAATAGCAAAGACTTGGAACCAACCCAAATGTCCATCAGTGATAGACTGGATTAAGAAAATGTAACACATATACACCATGGAATACTATGCAGCCATAAAAAAGGATGAGTTCATATCCTTTGCAGGGACATGGATGAAGCTGGAAACCATCATTCTCAGCAAACTATCACAAGATCAGAAAACCAAACACCACATGTTCTCACTCATAAATGGGAGTTGAACAATGAGAACATATGGACAGGGGGAGGGGAACATCACACACTGGGGCCTGTGAGGGGTGGGGGCCTAGGGGAGGGATAACATTAGTAGAAATACCTAATGTAGATGCCTGTTTGATGGGTGCAGCAAACCACCATGGCACATGTACACCTAGTAACAAAACTGCACGTTCTGCACATGTAACCCAGAACTTACAGTATAATAATACAAAATAATGCTTGGTACTATAGAGTGCTTTATTCTATTGAGCTTTGTGTGTAAACTAAGGTGAACTGAAATAGAAAACTATTAGCCCTCAGAAATTATTCTGCAACATTCTAGGATCTGTAAATATTGCTGTGTTAACTCTGCTATAAAATCATTATCTATGTTATAATACAACTTAAGAAAATATCCAAGAAAAAGACTACAAGAACATATGCCAAAATATTAATAGTAGTTATCTGTGGGTAGTGATATATGTGGTTATATTCAGTTTTTAAATTTATTTTTTCTATTTTCCCCAAACATTTTATAATTTCATGCATACTTCTTTCTATAAATAATAAAAGATAAAGTTTAAAAATTGTAGTCAATCTTATGTGACACAAATTTATCACAACTATGTTTAAAAAGTACCCAGCAAAAAGACTGAAAGGAAATACACCATATGTTACCTAAGATTTTCTCGAAATTGTTGGAAGTTGAGTGACTTGTTTATGTTTTTCAGTGTTTCTAAAATTTTCATAAGAAGCATGAATTATCTTTATAATGAAAATAGCTAAATTTTTACGGAGAGTATACAATTTGAAATAGATTTTAAACAGATAATTTCTCCCTTCTGGTTAGCCCCCTTTTAACCATTTATTCCTGTAAAATAACAGTTAATGCCTAATTGTTATAGAAAGAGTACAAAGTTTGTTGACTTCAGCATTAGGATTTTATGATCCCAAAAACATCAGTGACTTTTTCTGTAAAGCTGGCATGGGATGACAGTCCACTTCTGGGTTTGCAGACAGTGGACCTGTTACCAGGTGGCTGACAGATGTGGCTTCCCTCTAATTTCTGGGAGGGCTTCTATTGGATCACTTGGATGGGTGATCTGCAGCTGAGAGGGGCTAGAACCAACTCAAGGAAGGAAGGCCTCTTTAGAAATAAATTTAACTGAGTCTGGAGGTATAAGTAGAAGCAGAAAAAATGTCTGAGTCAGAGGGTAGAAGATGGGAGAAAGTCCCAAAGAAGGAAATAGTTTGGAGTATTGGAGGAACTGTAGAAAGCCATAGTGATTGAACCAGAGTAAATAAAGCAGCCTGGAATGGAAATCAGTCCAAGTGCCCAGGAACTCATAGACTGGGATTTTTATACAAGACCAGTGGAAAGTCATTCAAAGATTTTCAACAGGGGACTAATCCTCTTGGAGAAATAAATAAAAAGGAAGGCCATCTTCACATTCAAAGCAGTCTCATGTCAGGGTTGAGGCACTAGAGTCCATCTCTTTAGGGACAAAGCTGTACTTTGAATAAATATCAGACTTAAAGTTTGAATCTGTGTAATTAAGTATGTCCTACAGCAGAGTGGTTACAATGTCAGGCTTTAAAATCAGACTGTCCTGGCTCTGACACTTCCTAGGTGCGTAACTCTAGGTAAGCTTCTAAATCGGTACAGTGAGAATAATAACTTGCTGCTGTAAGAACTAAATAAATAATGCACATAAAAGGTGAGCATAGTGTCTGGTACATAGTGATCAACAGTAGTAGCTATTATATCCTGACTCACTGCAATAGAGAAAGTATAAAATCATCACGCAGTGGACCTTTATGGTCCTTACATAAGCTAATGCTGGATGCGTTTTCAGTGAGCTAAATTGTACTCAGTGATTTCAGAGTAATGAGCCAAATACATTAACTGTTCTGGAAACAGATGAAGCCTGACTATTTTGACTAAATATAGAGATAATTAGAATCTAGGCTCTATCTGTTGATAGGCTTGGGGAAGCATAATGAGAATCATCATGTCGTAATAGAATAATACACAGGGCTAAAATGAATCAGAAAGTTCACAACACAGATGAAAACATCTAATTTTATTGATGTCAGAAATACATTATTAGCTGAATCTTCTTATAATCTTATGCTGTTTGTTTCATTTGTAACAGCTCCTAATAGTGTAATCAATTATGCCTTTCTATTTTGCTGCTGAAGCGTTTTCTTTCTTCCACACATAGTTTGGTACAATTATCAAATGTCAGATAAAATCCTTTTCTGTAGTTTTATAATATGCATCAAAAGCACTCCTTCTTTGATGTAGTCGAGTATAGAGATGAAAGGTCCTTGCAGATACTTTTATTCAAAGCCAGAAAACAATTTTCCACAGGAAAGGTATTGACTATCTCCCCTGGTATCAAGGTCTAATTACGTAGTTGCATATTCTTATTGGAGCAATTCATGTTGCCAGGAAAACTCCAATATTATTAGATAATACACATGAAAATAAATGTACATGTTACATGGAAAGAAGAAAAAGATAGACTATAAAATATGGGTTCTGGGCCAGCCTTGGGACCGAGAAGCAAATGCAAATGTTTAGAATTGCAGGGCTCATGCTCACCTCTAGCAGTGTGGGAGGAAGTGAAAGGACACTGCTAATGCTAAGTCTGTCTTCATTTGATACTTTAGGGTTAGGGTGAAGTCCAGGATCTGAAACACCAAACTGCGCAGTAAATCAAACAACTGGGAGTTGTGGTTAAAGCAGAGTTTCATTAGGGCTAAGCTTGGAAATTGGTTAGTGTATGGAGTACAGTGCAGGTTCACAAATGCCACTGATCACTCCCAGTCTGTGGTTAATTTTATCTCTAGTCCTTGGCAAAATGAAAAAGGCAAAGACAACATAGTGAGTTTTTCATATGGTAAGTTCTTTAAGTGTTTTTATTACAATTTATGTCCTGCTCTTTCTCGCATGTAATAATAGTGGTAAGATTAAAAAGTTGATAAAATTATGTCAGTGTGCAAAATACTTAAGTATTGATTTACTTGTATATTGAATCTAAGAAATCAAAAACTCTAGGATCAAGTGCAATAGAGCACATGTAGCATTATGGTCAGCAATATAGGAAGTCAAAATGAACCTTTCAAACAAAGCACGGAGCCCTCATAAAATCAGATTGTTGAGATACATATATTGGAAACACTAGAAGTTGGAATCTGGAGGCCTTGGTTTGATTTGGGCCTGTAGGCTTAGGCTAGGACAATATGCAAAAAATTTAATCAATGATATCTCACTATCTTATGAGAACTTACTCTGGTTATAGTGTGGGGATACCAAAAAGGATCTGAGTGGCCAGGCACTTGAATACTCAGTCCATTTGCTTTTCAGGATCAGGGTGAAGTCTGGATATAAAACACTAGGGTCTGAAACGCCAAACCAAACTGTACAGCGAATCAAACCATTGCAAGTTGTGGTCAACTCAGATGAGTTACATTAGAGCTAAGACTGGAAATTGGTTAGTGTATGGAGTGGTAGTCGTTCCATATTGTAGCAGTTATTATGGCCATATCAGTTGCCTGAATATTATTCCTAGGTACTTACACTCCTTAAATACTAGCAGGAAGAATGCCCGGGAGCTTTAATAAGCTAACCCTAATGTTTGGTATCATCTTCTTTCCCAGATTGAATTTTGTAAATAAATCCTTAATATCAAGCATTACATGTTTCTGAAGGGAGGTCTGGCTTCAGTTTGAACTGATTCTTGTTCTGGAGGATACCATGGAAGCCAGTTTGATTCCACGATTGTTAGTTGGTCTTTGAAGGATAAACTTTACCATGAATTGGAGGCCCCAAACAGACTCTGCTACTTGTAAATTACGAAAAAGTCAACTTAGTTTTTCCATTCGCCTTCTCCTCCAGGTGATAACTACACTAGCTTTGACCTCATGTTTAATAGCAAATATTTTCAACTAATCTTTTTTTCTTTATTTCTGAAGAAAAAGAGAAAAGACACTGGGAAAATATAATCTGTCCCAAAACCATGGGACTATAGCAAGACAATAAAGAGACTCCTGGGCCATCCATTCTCAATGTTTATACTGCTTCCAATCAAGACTATTTGTACATTTAGCTCCTTTTCACTTATCTTTGAACTGTTTGCCCTGTAGAATGCATCTTTGAAATCAGCCATTCTGATTACTCAACACGTGTTCTGAGAAAAATAACCTCTTCACCAATGGTATAACACTCCAGGAATTGTATTACAGTCTTTAAAAAGGGAGTCAATAATAATCAATTTACAATCAAATCCCAAATGGCCTCTAATTGTTCTATGGTTGCTGGGTTGGAAACATTCATGGTCTCTTCAAGGAATTATAATGTAGTTGTAAAATACTTTAATATTCTCAGATAAAATATGTTATATCAATGCATTATAATTAAAATGCATTATTAGAGAATCTCTGTTTGCTTTTGCTATATTTAACATTTTTAATGTTTGCTATATTTAACATTTTTAATTTGCAACATATTGCTATCTCTAATTGCTCTTTCTCAGAATTACTGTATGAGATGAATGAGAATTATACTGGTGAACTTCATCCCTTTTTAATAGGAAAGGAATGGAAAATCAGAAGACGTGTTTAGATCACACAAACCAGAGGTGAAAGCTGAATCTGAGAGGCTTCTGTTTCCAGCAATAAGGTAACATTAGAAGACCTGAAAAACCCTAGACATGCTGGACAGTTGGTTCACTAAGGGTTCAACCTGATGCTGTAGTAGGTTGTGGGGCGAGACTGAGGGCCTTTCTCTTGGTAAACTGGAAGCCTGGTTTTAACACCCACAAAAGGACAGTAGATGACATATTGGGCCTGTTATGACCTAAATATTTGTGTCCCTCCACTCAAATCCCTATGCTGGAGCCCTAACCCCCGGTGTGATAGTATTTTGAGATGGGACCTCCTTTTCCCAAAGTAATTAGGGTTACGTGAGGATATGAGGATGGGGCCCTTATGATAGGATTAGGGCCCTTATAAAAAGAGACGTTGGTGAACTTGCTCTCTAGTTCTCTCCACTATGTGAGGACATAGTGGGAAGGAACAGTCCACAAGCAAAGAAAAGAGCCCTCACCAGAACCATACTATGCTGGCATCCTGCTCTTAGACTTCCAGCATTCAGAACTGTGAGAAAACAAATGCCTTGTTTTTTAAGACACTGGGTTCATGGTATTTTGTTATAGCAGCTGAGCAGACCCAAGTGTGCCACATAAAGCTGATGCCCTGAAAGTATTGCACTTTTAATCTAAGAGTGCACTACGAAATAAATTTGATCCCTAGCCAAGAAAGACAACAGATACATTTATTTGTTTCTGCCAGGGTTCTGGGTGAAGAAATCAAAGCAAAGAGTTACCCCCGATAATCTAATACCACAGATCTGTGCCTCAAATAGGTTTAGAGCTTGAATTTAGTCTACTCAAGTAGGTTAAACCTTCAATCCCAGGTTGAGAAATTAACATAAAGTTGTTATATTAATCCCTAGGCCAATAATACCCCAAGCTCCTGACTGAAACCAAACACTCTGGAGGGACACTCTCACATGCAGGCCAGAAGGAATTTGAATAGAAGGAAACAGGCTAAAGAAGAGAGCTCATGGCAAAAATTACAAACCATACAAGGAAGGCATTCACCACAGTGAGAGTGAGTAAAAACAGCAGAATTACAACCTAAAACTTGAGATAATATGACGACAGTCTGAAGCAGAATATAACAGAAGTATGCTTAAACTAAGTAAGACGTGAAAGAATTGAAACCCTAAAAAGGAATAAGAAAATATGAAAAAAAAGAGAAACATGCAGGCACATTGGATAAAGGAGAATAGGAAAAACAATAGCAGATAAAAAGTTTTAAATTGACAAAGAACAGATTAAGCAGCTAAATAATTGATGAACTGAAAGCTCTACCTGGGGATATTAGACAGCGTATTGCACTGGGAAATTGTGACATGGAGAAAGGGAAATTGATTAAGATTTAAGAAACATGGAAGGTAGAATTAGAAGGTCCCTGCACCCCTAATAGGCAGTACAAAAGAACAGAACAGAAAAAATGGGAGAGATATAGTCTTGAAAATTCTTGTAATAATTTTCCAGAAGTGGCAAAATGTATAAATTCATCAAATCAAGAACCACATCATTTTCAAGAAGGATAAATAAAAATAAATCTACACCTAAATACATCACAGTGAAGCTGTGGAGCTTAAAATCTTAAAAGCAAACACAGAAGTTACTTAACTAAGAAAGCCACAACTATTAGACAAAAACAAAAAACTTTTCAATAGCAAAAATAGAGAGGAGAAAGTAGCGAAAGAATGTATTTAAAGGGCTAAGGAAAAGTAACTGTCAACCTAGTTTATACTCAGCTAAATTGTTATTTAAGAACCTGTTTGAAACAATGACTAAAAACTTTTTTACTCAAAGACCCTTGCTAAAGAGAACTAGTAAATGATGTGCTCCATAAAAAAGGTAATAAAATTCATGAAGGAGTGGGATAAAGGAAGCAGTGATGAGCAACCACATTTATAAACATTGGTATCTAACTAAGCATTGCAATGACAATAGACAGATTTGAAAATATAAAAACAGGATGGAATGAAAACACTAGAAAAGAATAGAAAGTTAAAAAAATCAAGTTTGGAGTTAAAGCATTTTAAAATCCTTTTAATTGTGAGAAAAAAGGTAAAATATTGATTTAGTTTAGGCATTGTTATATTGACAATTCACGTTAAAAGTTCAAAACACTACTAAAGGAAGAGAAATAGAATATATAACTTTTAAACCACAGACAGCTGATGGATTAAAAAACTGTCAATTAAATAGAATCCTAAGAAGAAGGAAAAAAGTATGCTAAATAGAAAGAATAAGATGGTAGAAATCAATCCAAATATATTCATAATCATAATAAATGTAAATGATCTAAACTCACGAATTAAAAGAACATATTCAAACGAATTTTTAAAATATCAGCTCTGCTGCTTATAAAAATACACTCAAAATACAACACAGAAAAAAAGTGAGAGAAAAATTATTCCAAGAAAACAATAACCAAAAGAAAGCTGGTATAGCTACAATTCATCTGACAAAATGTCTTTAAGTAAAATTTAAAATATATTTATTAGGAAAAAAGCACACAAGATACAAAAATTCTAAACTTAAAAACAATAAACCTAAATAGCTGGGCATGTTGGCCCACACCTGTAATCCCAGCTACTCAGGGGGCCAAGCGAGGCATGAGAATCACTTGAACTTTAGAGGTGGGGGTTGCAGTGAGCCAAGATCACGCCACTGTACTCCAGCCTGGGCAACAGGGTAACACTCTGCCTCAAGATATTAATAATAATAATAATAAACCTAAAATAATAAAAAATTGATTAAACTACAATGAAATATTGACAAATCTCGATTATATTGTAAGTCTTTAATATAATTATTTCCATAATTAATGAATAAAGCAAACAAAAATAGTAAATATTTGAAATATATTTCAGAAAAATTAATGAGTTTGATCTAATTTACTTATAGAAGAATCCCATACCCAAGAGTTAAAGAATACACATTCTTTTTAAACACACGCACATCATTTACAAAAATTCACCATATAATGGTTCCAAAACAAGCCTTGACAAACACCAGTGGATTTAGAGACTACATCATGCAGATGATATTCTCAAATCATAATGCAAAAAGATGAAAAGTAAATGTCAAAAAGTACTAATCCTTCTGTTTAGAAATTTAAAAACATACTTCAAAATAATTTATGGATCAATGAAGAGACTGTTATATCAAAACTTGTGAGTTTAAGCTAACCAATCTTTAAATGCATTGATGACAAATATTAGGAAAAACGCAGATTGAGAATTAAGAACCTATGGAAATAGAAAATTTTTTAAAAATGCGAGTTTATACTGATTTATAAAAAAGAAAATAAACTCTCTGTCTAATATTAAAGTTAGGAGAAAAAGAACACTTATAAGTTAGCATGCAATGTAGGAAAGATGAGCTTCTAGTGTTTTGTAAATTTGAAGCCTTGATTTATCCCTAATGGACAACTAGGGGCACTTGACCCACCCCCTACACTGCTTAGTGGTTACCCACGAAAGTCAAGCTGCTTTGGAATTCCGATTCTATCACTTACGAGACATGCGGCGGTGAGCACATTGTTTGACTTTCCTGGGCCTTTAAGTTTTCCAATCTGTAACATGGGAATCATAAAACACAGGGAGCTCTCATCATCCAAGTATTTATTGGCCAAGCTTTTATAGGAAAATAAAAATAATAAAATGTGTCATAATTTGAAAACCTTGACTCATGAATTGACCGCTTCAGTTGAATCCCCCACTCAAGCTCCTTGACTCTGCCTAGCAATGTCTGCTTTGATCAGACTCTCACTGACCGTCCAACACTGGAAACTGCATTTTGTGAAAATGGTAATGATCATTAAGAATATAATTAAAATGAATGTAAAACAAAAATGTGAACAGAGCAACTAACGCAAGGTGTCACAAACTCAATAGAAGTGGAGAAATATCTGAATCACACACAAAGTCACTTCATGAAAAAAACAATTGACCAGAGCAATGACATGATAGGCATTTCAAAGGAGACTAAATTTCATATTGGAGTTCCGAGGAAAATAATGAAGAACTCAAATTTTGGAAAATCACAATTTGAGTTCTTCATGAAAATAAAGATCAGAATTTTTTATGATCTTGTTAAAAACTTCCTCTTTATGATCTTTTAAAAAATACGAACCTAAAGAATATTGTATTATGCAATCGTGTAATTTTCTTGGTAAAAGTGTGTGTTCCCCCCAAAAACATCCATTTGAATCATTCTTTGTTCATTTTAAGAACTAGTACAAGTTGTAGTTACAATGTGTGTGTATGTATTGCTGATGTAAGATAAAATAAATGTGTGTTATAATGTTAATCATTTTTAAAAGATATGCTCTAATCAAACTCTCCCCACCTCCAACCCACAACCACATACGCACAATTTACTATGAAATCAAGGTTTCTGTTTCAAGTGGGATTTTTTTTAACCTAGCCTTTCCCAACACCAATTATATTTGGATAAGGAGGACTTCATGGACCTATGTATGGGATTACTGTCAACCTTAGTTGAGATAATTTATGTGATTACAGTATGCCTGGACCATAGTAATCATTCAATAAATATTAGCAGTTAACCATCCTGGGCTATGTTATGAATCTAAAACTTTAAAAGATCTCCATGCAAACTCTCATTGTTGCCCAGTGTGGTCCTTCATAAACTCCAGAGCTGATCCAAATAAAACTCTTCTCCATTTTCCACACATCTCAACACACTTCACTTCCTGCTCTTTGCCCCAGATAAACTTTCCTGGATTCTGCATGTCCAGATCCTTCAAAGTCCAACTCAAACACAACTTCTTGCAAAAATCCTTTTCCAACACCCATTTGAAATAACCCCTTTTCCCTTGTATTCTCTATTCTCAGAGCAATATGTATACTCTGTGATAGGACTTACCACTTTTTCCTTAGAAAGTGTTTTTCATGTCTTGATTTCCTTAGTAGGTTGTAATCTCTACTAAGAGTAGGTCCTCTGTTTGTGTTATGTTAATATCCTCATAGACTCTTTCACTCTGACTTGCATATAATATCCATTCATCCACACATTTATCCACAAACATTTATGGAATGCCAAAAATAGTTGGTTCTTAATAATTGTATGTTCATAAAGTGAATGAACAAAAGATAAGGCAGTTTATTAAATGAGCATAATAGGAAACTTTCTTTCAGCTTGCCCAGAAAGATTCCCTTCCAATCTTTTCTGAATGATAAGAACACACAGGATCCTAGGTATATGCCCTTCTGGAGATACGCTCGAGGGGGTAGCATGTGTTATTCATTACATCACATATAACCTTTTCAAATTTACAATCAATCTTGCTTGGAAGTCTGGTGTCATTTAAAAAGCACGGCAGTGTGCTGGGAGGAGAGACAATCTGAGGAGGCTACAGTCTGTGAATCCAAATACCCTATTTAAAGATCCAAACATGAAGAAGGAGGATGTACTAAACACATCATTTTCCTTCCAAGTGATTGAAAAGGGATGGTACATTGAAGTTTTGTTGGGTTTCAATGCACTGATTTCTTCCCTACCTGTTTTTCTCAGGTTTGTCAGGTACTTAAGAGTCTATTTCAAATTGCCTGCAGACTCTTTTTCTCATGTTTCTTAAAACTATTTGTGATTAAATCACCCACATTGTCCTCTAGGCTCTAATGATTCTCTTCCCGTGAAATCCTGTTTTTTTATTTTACTTTATTCTTTTTATCACATCTTTGTTTTCCACTACACTGCTTGCTTTTAGTATTCCCATCAATTTTTCTGTTTCTTGATTCTCCATGCACTCTCATATTTGTTCACCTATCTATTCGCTCAGCATATAGTTTCAGGGTAACTTTCAGGGTTAAACACCATGCTGGTCAGAGATAGGATTCCTGAATTTAGAGGGATCACAGTCTAAAGTAGTGATGGAGGACTGGAAAATAGAAATAATGTTATGTGACATAACAAGCGAGCACAGGATAACACCATGCATATAATCATACAGGCATCTCTATAAAAATGCTGAAGAAGTGTGCTCCATTCTTCATTCTCTAATAAATATGGAGTAAAATTAATAGCTAAGGATTCTTGGAAGAAATTAGTATTAAACTGTGATTTAAAGTAAACAATGAGCGCAAAGAGGAATTCCAGGTATCCCAAATAAAATAGCAGAGGTGATGGGATGTTTCATTGCAAAGATGCCTGATTGAGAACAGTTATTTCTCAAAGTGCCATCTATGGACCAACTGCATTGGGATCATTTAGACTGTTTTTAAAATCACATACAAGTGAACTTCACCCCCAAATCTATTGAGCAGGAATCTCTGGAAGTAGCTAAAATCTGTCTTTAACAACTACTCCAGATTATTTCTAGGCCTAGCAAAGGCGGAAAACATTGCATAGAGATAGGGGAAAATTAGCAGGTAACAGGCAGATTGGTTTGGGTGATGCCCACGAAGATGAGATATAAGTAAAAGGTCAGCTGGGAGGCCCAGACAGTTAGTCTTATTATTAGGTTGGTGGAAAAGTAATTGCAGTTTTGCCAAAGTAAAAGTAATTGCAGTTTTTGCCAAAGTCCTATTATTCGGTTGGTGCAAAAGTAACTGTGGTTTTGGCAATTACTTTTGCACCAACTTAATATTACGTATCTTCTATGGTTTCCACTGGAGAAGTGAGTGTTAGCATTTTGGTGTGCTACTAGGAACCAGGCATGGTGCTGGATATTCACCAAATGAAATAAAATGTATTTCTCAAGACAATCCATCTTCTATGTTTCTACACCTGGGCTGCTGAGGACTATTACAGAAAACCATAGAGCATGCAGATTGATTTCATTGCCAGTATGCACTCTTTGCCCCATTTAAGCCCTCAACATTGGCCATCCTGTATTTCTCAAGCCATCTCTTTCAACTCTTTACCCCAGAGCTATTGCAAACTTTCTCCATTCTCCTGAAATCTCCTACTGTACTGCCTCTCTCCTAATTCTTGGTAAGTAAACTTAAATACTACTTTACTAAGGGAAAGAAGCCCTTTAGGTAGGACCCTCAACTTCCTTCTGTCCTCCCTACAACATAGCTGATCTACACCCAGCCTCATTACCCACCCATTCTCCTGCCTAGATTTAATCCTTCCAACACGTGAGCTAGGAACAGCAGCATTAACATCACCTGGAAACTTCTTGGAAATGCAGAACTTCAGACCCACGTAGACCTACTGAGTCAGAATCTGCTTTTTTTTTCTTTTTCTTTTTTTTTTTTTTTTGAGACAGAGGACAGAGTCTCCCTCTGTTGCTCGGGCGAGAGGGCAGTGGCGCTATCTCGGCTCACCGCAAGCTCCGCCGCCCTGGTTCACACCATTCTCCTGCCTCAGCCTCCCGAGTAGCTGGGACTACAGGCACCCGCCACCGCGCCCGGCTAATTTTTTGTATTTTTAGTAGAGACGAGGTTTCACCGTATTAGCCAGGATGGTCTCGATCTCCTGACCTCGTGATCCGCCCGCCTCGGCCTCCCAAAGTGCTGGGATTACAGGCGTGAGCCACCGCGCCCGGCCTAGAATCTGCTTTTTAACAACATAATTCAAGTTTGAGAAGCTCTGCTAAAAAAAAAAAAAAGCAACAAAAAAGATGCCCTTCCTTACCTGTTCAGGTACGTGGTTTCTTCAAATGTTCCTGTGTCTTCCCTAAATACAAACCTACTTTCTCTGCTGGATCCTCTCAACCACATCTAAACATTTAAATCTCTCCCATTCTAAATCAACATTCAAGCCATTTTTAAAAACTGCCCTATAACCTCTTATCTCCAGGTAGTGAATGATTTATGCTCTTTTCCTCTACAAAGCCAAACATCTTCAAAGACTTTCTTATATTCTATTTCTATTTTGCTTCCTTTATTTCTCAACACACTTTTAAAAGAGATCATTAGCTGTTGTCCCCTATCAAGTCTTCCTCTTTTTCATGGTAATAATACCCTAGCATTTAGCCAGGCACCTGACTGTAAAGACGCTAAAGACTGTAAAGGCACTTGAGTAAATATCATTTTCTAGCTTCCCTTCCAGTTCTGTGTGCCCATGTTTCTAGGTTCTGATTGTTGGGATGCTAATGGAAATGATATGTGTATCTTCTGAGAAATTATCTTAAATGGAGAGAGTATAACCTTCTTGTTTCTTACCTCTTTTCTTCTGGTGCAATGTGGATGAAATGCTCAAATGCCACCAGCCAACATGGACCATAAATTAAATTTGGAATGGAAGCCACACATGACATGGGAACAAGATGGAAAACTTTAGGTAATAGAAACAATGGAATGCCATTCCAGACTGAACCGACATCCCTAGGCTTCTAGGACTTGAATGAGAAATATATTTCTGTCTTATTTAAGCAATGCTTTTAGAGGCTGTTAGTATCAAAATCCTAACTAATATTCTATAGCAATCTGCCAATCCTCCTTCACTTTCCCCACTCCCAATACTGTTCAAGTTATCAGTGGTATTTTTTGCCACTCCTCAAGGCACATAAAACCATTGACAACTCCTTTTGTTTCAAACACTGTTTCCTTTGGACTTCCATGACACCACATTACCTGGAGATATATATATATATATATATATATATTTTTTTTTTTTTTTTTTTTTTTTTGAGATGGAGTCTTGCTCTGTTGCCCAGGCTGGAGTGTAGTGGCATGATCTCGGCTCACTGCAACCTCCGCCTCCCAGGTTCAAGGGATTCTTCTGTCTCAGCCTCCTGAGTAGCTAGGATTACAGGTGCCTGCCATCACACCTGGCTAATTTTGGTATTTTGAGTAGAGATGAGGTTTCACGATGTTGGTTCCAGGCTGGTCTCGAACTTCTGACCTCAAGTGATCCACCCACCTCAGCCTCCCAAAGTGCTGTGATTACAGGCGTGAGCCATTGTACCCAGCCATTACCTGGATTTTTATCCAAACTCTCTTTTGTCTTTACTCCTTAAGTCAGAGCTTAACCATGATCACCTGGGAGCTTTGGAAAAAATACTGATGCCTGGGTCTCAATCCCAGAGTTCTGATGTCATTAGTTTGTGATGGGGTCCTGGCATGACTATTCTTGAAAAGCTCCCCGTGATTCTAGCATCCAACCAGGGTTCACAATAATAGCCTTAAGGATTGCTTGGTGGAAGACCATTGCAGAGTCTAGACTCTTATTTCCTGCTCTGCACATTCACCTTGACCAATCTCATCTACTTCTGGTTTCAGTTAGCATTTACATGCCGATGATTTTCAAACTAATATCTCTCAGCTCTCTCTGTTAAGTATGACCCATATACGTAACAACCAATTGGACAACTCCAATAGATATGTCATTAATATCTCATGATGATCATATGTACTATATTTTTCATTATTTCTTCCCACTCATCTAAAAAATTCTTGTTCATCTTCTGTGTTTATTAGAATAGTACTACTATCCACATAGTTGTAAGAGCTAGAAATTTCAGATTCCTCTCCAATTCCTTTAAGTCTCCCTGTCTAATCAATCATTACACTCAGTTTCAACATTTTAATATCTCTCACATTTATTCACTTCTTTTCATCTCCATTGCCATTTCCTGGTTGAGACTACCATTATTTCTTGCCTGTACAAGTTTCTCCAGAGTCCTGCTTCCTCCCTATTCTTCCTCCACACTGCAGCTGGACTGAACATTTAAGAACATGCATCCAGTTATGTCACTTCTTTGTCTCAGATCCTTCAGGGGTTCCCCCTTTGCTTTGGGATAGAAGCCAAAGGCCTTTGCCTGACCACCAGATGCTGCCTGACATTTCCCTGTCTTATCTCCTCAAACTCATGGCTCACCATTCCTCTCCACACCATGCTACTGTATAGGTATAGGGAACTGTGTGTAGTTTCCCAAATTCATGTGTTCCTCCATGTACCCACCCATAACTACACTGAAATGTCCTGCCTTTTCGTCCAGTTCACCAAATAGTTTTAAACCTTCCCTGTGTGTAGGGAACTCTGTCTTGATCACCACTTGTATACATAGGCATTTACACAATGTCTGGGGGTATAGTTGGCACTACAACACATATTACTGGCTACCTACTATGTTTCAAATATCATGGGGCTTACATCATGGTAGATTAAATGTTTGGTGATTGGGAAATAGATCCTTAATTATTTTATTGTATATCGATAAGCTCAGAGAGGTTTAATAATTTTCTAAGCATCAAAGCAAAAAGATGAGACTGAGGCTAAGTTTGATGTAGGTTGGCTGGCTCCAAAGCTCTTGTTCTTTCCACATTAATATGTTATACACACAGATGCTTTGTGAAGAGGCTATAATAAAGACGACATTTACAGTAGATGCCTCTGATACTTTGAAATGTTTCCTAGGTTATCATTGGGATTTCCTGGCTTTTCCAATCAACCTATGGCCTCTAACAAGCTCACAAAACAGCAGGCTGAAGCTATGTTCATCTAAAAGCAAAACATTTGGTCAATTAAACCAATTTAATAAAAAAACTGAATTTATTGGAAGGACAGCAATTTTCTTCTTGAATAGTTAGTTTGGCATCATGTGGGCAAAGCATTAAACTCTGGAACGTTTTTTCTTCTCCCGATTTAAATTTGGAATTTGAAAGTATGGCTTTCCTTGTGCTTCCTTTCTTCAAATTATGCAGGAGAGTAACTGTAGGTCTCAGAGACAGGTGCCTATAAAAGCTAGGTCAGTAAAGCAAATGAATGGACAAGGTTGTGTCCGTTCAATAACAGGTGCATGAAGACAAATGTATGTTGTGGTAATGTTAAAAAGGAATACAAGACTATGAAGGGTGGAAGAGGGAGAGATGAGTGTTGCAGAAATGTTGACTGAAAAGGAAAAAATAAAGACCAGATTTTAGGGAATAGAGCAGAGAGGGCAAAGAAATTTCAGTGAAGACCCTGCTTCCACTGGGTTCACGTAGAAGGAGAAAAACACTCCCTCTTGAGGGTGACAAGGTGACTATGGCAACCATCTTGAACCGGAACCAGGCCTGAATTTATTAACTCTGTGAGGAGTTTGCACTATAGGTTGAGGAACGACAACCAAATGGATAGAAAAATCTATCCTAACGCAGGAATAGAAAAGCAAATACTGCATGTTCTCACTTATAAGTGGGAGCTACATGATGAGAACACATGGACACACAGAAGGAAGCAACACACCCTGGGGCCTGTTGGGAGGTGGAGTGTGGGAGTAGGGAGAGGATCAGCAAAGATAGCTACTGGGTATTGGGCTTGACACCTGGGTGACAAAGTGGTCTGTGCAGCGGACCCCCATGGCACAAGTCTGCCTGTATGGCAGACCTGCATATGTACTCCTGAACTTAAAATAAAAGTTAAATTAAAAAAAGTCTATTCTAAGAGGAATTAGTCTTGTAAGTAGATCATCCCCACACCTCCATATGAGCTGCTTGCCCCAGAATCACACATGGTCATGAGTCAGCATCTGGGAGGGAAAACAACAGCCCCCGGACCAAGAAGGTATCACTGTCCCTTAGCACAGGGGCAGAGGGAGAGACTGACCATAGTTGCTTTCTGGAGATTTTCATGACCTAGAGGCAAGGCCCCAGAAATCTGGAAGCTAAGTGTTCTTAAAATATCTACATAAACTTATTAAAAAATCACCAGTTTTTCTTTAAGCCCGATAGTGTTTGGTTTTCAGACACTTGCAATTGTAAAAGTCCTCTGACTTTTTCAATTGTCTCTTATCAACTTATGAAAAGTTGCTCGAGCTTGCTCAAAACAAGAGAAACAAATTAAAATGAAAAGAGATGCCATTTTCACCTATCTGATTTGAAAAGATCTAAATGTTCAATAACAGGCTATGTTGGCCAAGCTGTGAGAAAGTGGGTACGCTCATACACTGTCGATGAAATATAAGCTGTTTGCAATGTTTATGAAGGGCAATGTGGGAATATTTATTAAAATAAAAAATTCATGGACTAAACCCAGGAATTCTACTTCTAGAAATTTATTCCACAAATATACTTATACATGTGAAAAATGCTAAATATATGAGGCTATTCATTATAGTATTGTTTATAACAATAAAAGATATAAATGAGCCTAAATGTCCATCAAGAGAGACTGGTTAAATGAAGTATGGTACAACCACATGGTGGAATACTCTGATATATGTTGTTTGGTGAATCAATTAATTTTGTGCTACCACTTGTATAAAAGGAAGGGGACAGAAAATGTTTATTCAAATATATGTCAATCTCTGGAAGGACATGGAAGAAAATAATGAGTGGTTACATATTTGGGAAGCAGGCATGAGGACTTACCAGATGAGACAAAGTTGAAAAGGAGCTTTTTGTTTTTGTTTTCACTGAATATTCCCTTATTCTTTTCATATAAATTTATTCCTTATTTTTACAAATCCAATAAATTTATTTTAAAGTAAGTAACAGAGTCCTAACTGATTTATTATAATGATAAATCACTAAACACATGTGTAGAGATCCTGGCACTGACCTGTTGGCTGCGTACATTGACACATCAAACTTCTTTGCCTTCCAGAATTTCTGATCTATTGCAGCTTTGAAAGATCAGGGCTGTAGTGCTCAAAAGAGATATTCCATGATTAAAATGGCCCCTACAGGACAAATTGAGAAGTTTCATTATTTTGGTCCCCCTTTAAAGACAAGAGTTTAGAAAACGTGGTTGGGAGTTGTGACCATGGATTTCTGCTTCCTGTTGCTAGAAATAAAAGTTTTGATAATTACCAATATAAGCACTACCAACAAAGCCAATTTGTAGAGAGCACATTGGGATGACAGTATGCTGAAAGAAGGAAATATACCTGGATTCTGACACTGCTCTTGTCACTCATATCTTTATGACTATGGGCTAAGATTCCTAATATTTCCAAGCCTTCATTTCCTCATTTGTAAAATGTAGACAATATTGCTTTCCTTTAAATGTCTAGCATGCTAAAGTTATCTCTTTATAACTCAGAACTTTGGTAAGTCAGGGATGTTCAAACCTTAGGCAATCCCAGGTCCTCCAAACTCACACGACAGGAAGTGGGCAGCTCAAAGTCACAGCCAAACACAGACCATTTCAAAGAAAAATTTTCCAGAGAACAAAACCAGAAGGGCCAGATTATATTGCTAAGGAACTCTAAGACATGACATGGACTGTGTTCTAGGCAGCACTGTTGTGTTTCCCATTTTCTGTGCTTACAATGGAGTCTTTACGGCACTTATATTATCCTTTATCAATTAATAGTTTGTATATTGATTGAGGATGATTAATGTTATGATGTATTATAAATTACTGGGCCATGAGAAACCAAGTCTAGATATAAGCAAGAATGCATATCACTTAGATATTACAGATTTGAAGTAATAAACACTAGGTTGCCTCCCTCTAGATAAGGAGTAAATGATTTTAAAATTTTTCTGTAGACATGAGCACTTTTTGAGATGTATGTATAGGGAGAGAGATACATGTAGATGCTGGGTACCCATCTTGGTACTCATTCATTTTCCTTTATGTTACACAACTCTAATTTTCCTTAGGAAAATTCTAATCCTACCTCTGATCCTTCACCTTGAAATCAAAGTACATGCATGTCCAGTTATGTGAAAAATGAATTTCCTCTCTTTGATTCAGTCACTATGAGTCTGGTATTCTAACCCTTGTGAGTGGAAAAATCTCGGCTAAATGCAATGGTTCTTTAATAAATGAAACAATGCATAACCTCATTTAGAATACAAGAAATAAGAATAAAATCACACAGACACTCCAGGTTTCCACAATCAGATTTGCAAATATCCAATATATTGATAACTCATTTTTTGTGTAACTTATGACAGAATAGGAATTATGATACTTTGCTGGTGGGAGTGTTAAAATGGTACAATACATATGATGAGTAATTTGGAAATGTTTGTCAAAATTCAAATGCATTTACCTTTTTGCTCAGCAATTTCATTTCTAGGATTTATTCTGCAAATAGACTCTTACATGTGAAATAAAGTAATATGTATTCCTTACATTATTATCTGTAACAGTAAAATATATCAGTCTAAAAGTCTATCAACAAGGGCCTGGATAAATGAAAAATTATCATACAGGGGAATACGTGGAGCTGTAAAAAAGAATGAGGAATTTCTTTTTGTCTAAATATGAACATACCTTCAAGATATGTTAGGAGAAATTTTTAAAAGTGAAGATGTTTGTGCAAAATATTTGTGTAAAAATAGAAAGAAGAAAGGAAATGTCTTTTCGTATTTGCTTGTATGTGTATGAATATCTCAGTAAAGATAGAAAATAAACTGAGAAGTATCGTTACCCACGGGGTGGAGGTGGAACATGGGTTTGGGGGATAAGATTGGAAGGGGGATTTTTTTCACTGTATACCTTGTATTTTCAAATCTTGGGAACCACATAAACTCTTCACAACAATTATACACACACACACACACACACACACATATTTAAATATATATATACACATATATATTTAAACAAAAAAATACAGTAACAGTAGAGTGAGGTTGTGGAGTTCTAAGCCATATATGGATTGCTGGTGCTGAAATGTCAGCTGCATAAATTGGATGAGCGGGCTTTCTTCCACCTTCTAGAATGTCAGCTCGGTGCTGCAGTGCTGAAAAGAGTTATCCCGTGGCAAGAGTGGCACCTACAGGGCACAGTAAGAATCTTATGTTTCTTTTTTTATTTTTATTTTTCAGAGAGGTGGAGGTGGCGTATGGATAGAGGTGTAATGATTGGTTTTCTATTGGAGTTGTTGGACAAGTGTTTTGACCATCATCATAGATTTACCATCAGATACAGCTGGATACAAATCCTGTTCCTATAATTTACTGTCTGGGTAGCTTTAGGCAAAGGCACTTATGTTTATTAAAAGCTATAGTTTCTACCCTTGTAAATTGTGGATGATAATATCTACCCTATCACAGTTTGGCTAATAAATTTTAAGTGAATTGTGTCACTTACGGAATACCAACCTTGCCGCCAAAATGTTCCTGTGATTGCTCAATGTCAGAGACAACCCCAAACCTGCATCAATAGGAAATGAGATGCTAAAGAAATACAGCCCAAGGAAGGAGCTATGAGGATGCAATCTAGAAGCTTCCCAGTCCAGCAAGTGAATGGAGAATGCCTGGGCAGAGGGAGCAGGAGAGAGAAAGAGTGAAGGGAGAGAGGAGAGAAAGGACGTGCACACTTCAATGGCATTCTTTGAATACTTTGATGGCATATTGGAAGCCCTGAATTTACCTCTGATTTTTCTGTTGTAAGGACAATAACTTTCTTTTTCTAAAGCTAGATTGAGGTGATTTACTTGTAATTGAAAAAAACTTCTAACAATATCTAATGGTGCATACTAAAAGCCGCTCATCCTCACTCATAATAAAAGTAGAAATTAAAAATGAGATGACATTTTCTACCTATTATATCGGCAAAAAGTTAAATTAAAATTGATAACACATTATATTGGCCAAGCTGTGGAGAAATAGGCCTTCTCATATTTTACTGATGAGCAGTTTAACAACTCCTGAAGCAGGCAAATTAAACATATTTGTTAAGATGCAAATATATGTATCTTTCGACCCAGCAATTATGCTTTTGTGTAATTTGTCCCACAGATATATACTCAATCCTGTGAAATGAGGCATGTACAAGGCTATTCAGCATTGTTCCAAAGAATAAACAATAAGCATCAAACGTTCATCACTGGAGAAGTGATTTCATTTACATGGTGGAAAACTCTGAATCCATTAAAAGGAATAAAAAAAATTTTAGAAACTGATAATGGAAAGTTCTCTATAATATATAGCTGTTTAGAAAAATACAGGGAAAGAATATGAAGAACTTGCTGTAATTTATGCTTAAAGGGGTGGGAGAAGGAATCTATGTTCATGTTTAGTTGCATGTGCACTAAAATCTCTGGAAGAATATACAAAAAGTGGAATAGCATGGCAAAGGCTACGTAGAGGAACTTGGTAGAAAAGGGACAGAGATAAAGGGATTCTTTTTCAATGAAGACGTTTTTGCACATTTTAATTTTTGAACCCTGTAACTGCACAACCGATTCAAAAATGAAATAAGATTCCAGGGGAAAAGATTTCACTTCTATGTTGGAGCTGTGGAACTCTAAACCCAGGGGTGGGATGTGAGGGGTCCTTAGTTTGAATTGTGTGTAGACTAGACTCCATCTTCTAGAATTTCTAATCCTTTCCAGCCTTGAGGGAACCAGTTGCAGAGCTGATCAAGAAATATCCCAGGGTTACAGTGGCACCTACAGGACAAACGGAAATGTTTCAGCTTGTTTCTTGGTGCTTTTTTTGTGGAGCAGGGGGAGTCAAAGTTTAGGAGGACAGAGATAAGGAGGTGACGTTACAGTTGCTAGTTACTGCAAACATAATTTTTATACCAGTATATTAGAAGCTTAGACCTTAGAGCTAAACACCCGTGATTACAAACATCGTGGCTTTGTCACCTGCTCTTTGTTATACCCCTGTTGTATGGCTTTAGGTAAAGGAACTTAACATTTCTGAGTTATAGTGTCTACTTGAAATATGTGAAATATGCTGTCTATATTACAGGTTAATGCCTCAGTGTTTTAAGAGACTTATTTTACCAGAGAAACTCCAAACCTGGCAAACAAAGGCCTGTGAGTACTCAACCCTTAAGACAATCCTAAATGCCCCAAACCTATCCCAGCAGGAAGTGAGCTGCTAAAGAGATGTAGTCCACAGAGGAGGCCTCCAAACCTGTGGGCTACATCACCCAGAGTTCGTCAGGGCCACGGAAGATAAGGGACAAGGAGATCCTTGTGGAGAACTCATCAGGGCAGCCAGATTGGCTAAGGAGCTCACATCACCTCCAGGTCAGGATACTTTGTGTTTCCAGTCCTACACATCATGGGAATTGCTACGCACCAGGAATTGCTACACTTTTTGCTGCTTCCCATTCTCTTCCTTATCAAATGGATGATTTTTTTGATAATTATCCTATTCTTTCTCTGTCCCTTCATGTATTGCATTTGTGGTTATATTGGAGCCATAGTTTGCTGAGCCAGAAGGAACCACCACACCAGGGCCTGACTAAGAAGAATCACCCAGAAATCCTGGACTTGGAGCTATAACTAGATAAGTCTTTGTGTGGTCTCCCTCTGAGAAGAGGAAAGTGCACTTTCCATGGTATCTAATTATGGCTTCATTAGGTAGGCACTGGCGTTTTTGAAGGGATATGTGAGAGTAGAAGGGACAGTGTGTTGTTGAAGGTGTGAATTACAGCTAAAACCTCTGTTGTTAGCCAAGCCAGCGCTTAGTTGTCTTTCTACATTTAATGTCACTTTGATCTTCTGTTGGACACCTGGAATCCATGCCTCTCACATCTCTCAATTCACCTAGTTTGAGTGATTTTGGCTCTATCCCCGGCTCCAGAAGTGGTTGTATGACTCAGGCCTGGCCAGTCAGAACACTGCATCCTGTTCAATTCAGGTCAGAGAGACTCAGGGCAAGCAAGATCTCTCTGCTGAGATTGGAGCTGCGAGAATGAAGGGGAAAGGAGCCTGTCTAAGGACAGGGCCAAGACAGAGGGAGCTGGAGTGAGAGTGAGAGTGAGAGTGAGATTGAGAGAATGAGAGCGAGAGTGCGAAAGAGAAATCACAGTCGGGGGTGACATTTAAGCCTTTGGAGTAAGGCCCATTGGACATTCTCCATCTAGGCTTTTCAGTGATGAGAAAATAAACATCTTGCTTGAGCCAGGTAGACTGCGGCTTTCTATTGCTTGCAATCAAAACAGTTCTAAATCAAATGGCTCTTAAACCAAAAGATGCTCAAACTCATAATAATAAGAAAATAATTGATACAACTTTTTTTTTTAACTCTCAGATTGATTGGCAAAAATTCAAAACATACTGTGTTGGCCAAGCTTTTGGGAAATAGACAATTTTTACATGGCTGCCAGGAGCACAAGCTGGTACAAGCCCTGTGAAGGGCAATTTGAAAATGCCCGTAAACATGACAAATACATGTATCCTCAGATGCACGACAAAGTGAGAATTTTTCTGTTTTTTCATTATTTTTTTCTGACTGGCAGAGAAATTCAGCAGGAATTCTCAGATATATTTAGGTATATTGACACACATGCAAAATGGACCCTATACAAAACTTCTCATTTCAGTATTATTTTAAATGGCAAAACAATCAACTTACATGTTCATCAATAGAGAACTGGGTAAATAAATTTTGGTGTATCCATAAACTGGGAATACTTCAAAGCTAGAGAGGTGGGGGCAAAGAGGAATTTTTATGTACTGATATACAGGATTTCCAAGATATAGTATTATATGGAATAATTAAGACACAGAAAAAAAGGTGTTATAGTACATTATCATGCAAAATAAAAAGTTGCTTTTAAAGTATTTGCTTGTATGTGCATAAAATGGTCTCTGGAAGTATAAAAGAAACTAATAACTTTGCTAACCTTTGATATGTAATAGGTAAAAGGGAAATTTTTTAGCATATTCTTTTTATCATTTTAATTTGTTTTTGAGCCATATGAAAACATTACTTATTCAAAAACTAAATGAATATAAATTTTTAAATTTTCTCATTAGGACCTACAAGCTAAAGAACAGTTAAAAAACAGGCAGTGAAAAGATTCCAGGGGAAACGATTTCACTTCTGTGTTGGAGCTATGGAACTCTAAACCCAGGGGCGGGGTGTGAGGGGTCCTTAGTTTGAATTGTGTGTAGACTAGACTCCATCTTCTAGAATTTCTAATCCTTTCCAGCCTTGAGAGAACCAGTTGCAGATCTGTAAAGAAATATCCCAGGGTTACAGTGGCACCTACAGGACAAACGGAAATGTTTCAGCTTGTTTCTTGGTGCTTTTTTTGTGGGGCGGAAGAGTCAGTGAAACAACAGGCAGTGAAAAAAAAAAAAATACACCAATCTTACTGATCCAGGCAGTGAAATGCATAAGTTGAATGAACCAGCTTCTTCCATTTTCTATGAATATCTGGTCTATTGCAGCCCTGAGAGATCTGTGCTATAAAGCTGGAAATAGATGTTCTGTGATGAGGGTGGCACCTGCAGGACAAAGTGAGAATTTTTCCTGTTTTTTTTTTTTTGTTGTTGTTGTTTTTTAATTGTTTTCTTACTAGCAGAGGAAATCAGCGGAGCATGGAGAGGGCAGGTATTGAGCATGAATTTTCCCCTTAGAGTTGCTAGATGTAAAAGTTTTACTAAAAATAATGGAGACATTGCAAACAAAACTATTTTTATATAAGGCACACACAGAGAATCAGTGTGGAATAGAGAGGTAAAAGTAGACTCTGGTAACATATATTGGCTTTGTCACTCCCCAGCTTTGTGGATTTAGGCAAAAACCACATAACATGACTGAGCTTAGAGGCTACACCTATAAAATGAGGGCAATAAAACTCACCTTAAAGGACTGTTGTCTCTTAACTTTTGAAGGGAGTTTCTTAGCCAGAGAAACCCTAACCTGACAAACAGTAGCCTTCAATTGCTCAATCCCTGAGGCAATTCCAGGCCCCTAAACCCACTCACTCAGGAAATGAGATGTTGAACAGATGCAGTCCATGGAAGGGGCATCCTTCTGAAAGTCCTCACTTTAAATGGGCCATGGAGGATAAAGGACAGGAGAGAAACTTCCAGGGTGGCTAAAGTCATATGACAAAATAGCTCACCTCAACTCTGGAAAGCCAAATGAAAGCCTTTACTTCAATTGTGATCATCTCTCCCTGTTAAGTGTGTAATGTGAATTACGGTTTTCATTTAATCATAGTTTGCTGGACTATGAGAAGCCACATTAGGACCAAGAAAAATATTCATCACCCAAAGATTCTGGACTTAGAGTGACAACAAGTTTACTTACGAGTTTGGAGTTGTTCACCTCACCTCCCTCTGAGATGTGGATGAGCACAGTTTTTACTGTGAGTAGCGTAGCTGCACTGTATTGACACGGGCACTTCTGAACATGTACGTACAGGTAGAAGGATGTGCTGTTCCTGTGACTCAGGCCTGGACAAACAGAGCTGTCCCTCCCCACTTTATAGTGATGGTTCAGGGATAGGTACATGAGAAAATTGAAGTCAGTTAGAGTCAGGCCTAGGACTTTCTGCCCAAGTTGAAGCTATGAGAATGAAAGCCTGGTACTGCCTGGAGGTGGGGAAGGTGGGGAGAAAGACAGAGAGAGAGAAACAGAGACAGAGATTGGAGCAGAGCCAGGTTTGATGAGATCTTTGGGTTCTTGGATTGAGGCATGTCTCCAAATGCACCTACTGACTTTATTTTATCTGAATATTTATTTCTATTCTTAAACCAATTGAGCTGCATTTTCTACCACTTGTAACTGGATTTATATGAAAGCTGTCATACCCCATCATAGAAAAAAGAAATGCAAGCTGAAACTACACAGATAACATTTTTCACTTCTCATATTGATAAAAGTCCAGAACATTTGGTAACACACGGTGGACAAGCTGTGGGGCAGAAGGCAGTCACACACAGGATTGGAGGAAGTATAACCTGCTATAATAGAACCCTTACGGGGGGAAGTTTGAAAATTCTATAAAAATTACAAATGCATCTACCCTTTCATCCAAAAAGTCCACTTCTATGAATTTATTGTGCATACATCCTTGCACAAGAGAAAGACCAGTAGGCCGGTTATTCTCCCTTGGCCTCCCTGCCTCATTTCCATTCTTTTCTGCCATGTGTTTGGTCTTTTTCTGCCATGCATTTGGTCCAGGAGGCTGACCTCTACTGAATGCAGCACACAGTATCCTCTAGTGTACTCTGTAGTATGCAGCAATATTATAATTACTCAGGTTATCATTGGTTTGGGATGCAGTAGAAGTGAATGGCAAGGCATGATCAAATGACTATAGCTCTTAATAGCTATGGCAACATGTGGTCATTGCAGTTTGTCATCTGGCTACTCCTAATGACCTTGGAGAGCTAGAGAAAGGAAATAAAAGCCTGAAGACTTGAACTTCCAATGTAGAGAACGAGGAGAGAATCAAAAAGCCTCAATGGTGATATTAAAATAATTCTTATTTGTAGAGTGCAGACAACTAAATATTAGGCCCAAGGACTGACTGTATGTGATGCAGAGAAGAAGCAGCATTTAGATGTTCAACATCTCCAGGTGTCATGTGCCAATGAAGGCACTAGTTAATAAGGAGTGGGATTCTGAGACTTGGAGTAGAAACAGTTGGTTAACCATGCAAGACTGTGAGTCTTGAACCCTGAAATCTCCCTGAATCTTCCTTGCCTAGGTAAGAAGCCCATCCCTTTTCCCCCTTTCCCAAGGGATTTTGATTTCCTTTACATAAATTTCTTTTGTTGACTTAACCTAGAGCAGTTCTCTCACAAGGGGAATCAATCCTCCCCAACACAGCCTCGCCAACCCTCATTTACCTCCAGACCCACGGTAAGAGTTAAATACCAGCAAAGCCCAAAGGGAGAGTGTGAGGCTGGCTCTGAGAGGAGATAAAAAACATACTGAATGAGTTGAGACATCTTGTCCCCTTGTATTGGTAGGGGTCTAGGGAGCATACAAAGGCAATGCTTCTAAGTGTGTTAGATGAAACATAAGATGATATCTGGCCACATTTATAGATAGAGTTGCTCACAGAGGATTCATAGTTTAATGTGTTGGCTGGAGCACCTGGCTGTGATTAACTGAAGCCTGGGCACTGGTGACCTACAGCTAATGAGGCTATGAGGCTGGAATTTTTCGAGTAAGCTGTACGTAGCAGAGTTCAAAGACTTGTGAATATGGAAATGTTGAGTGGATCTCTATATATACAGGTTGCATAGCCACCTCCCACACCCAATTATAACTAGCAAGAGAGATCAGAAGATATTTTATTCATCATCCTTTATTTATTAAAAAGTGCCTTAAAAAGTTCTATCTTAAAAGCCAGATTTAGTAGGCACGTGATAATGATAGATATGTTGCCCTGGAATAGGGTCTGATTTCATGGGAATAATAAGATCCTAGAATGGTAGATGCCAAGTGGCTCTGCTTTACCATCAGAGATAAAACGGGAGTGATTATTTTAATGAGTCACAGGGACCTGGTAATAATCAGAGTGTTTGACTCATAGGTTTATTATATTGATATTATGTTAATGGAGTTGGTAAACAGAAAGTAGCAAGCACCTTGAAATCAACCTAAATGCTCATCAACAGGGAACTATCTAAATGAATTGTTGTACATTCATACAACGGAATCCTATGCAGTTGTGTAAAAATATAAAGAAACTTTTTATGCACTGATATAGAAATCTCTAGTGTATATTTTTACGTAAAAAAACAAAGTACAGAATAGTCTGTATAATATGCTGCCATTTGTGTAATCAAATGAGGCAGTAACAAGTATTTATATATATAAATATGTGTATCTATATATATAAATGTGTGTGTATACACACACACACACACACACACACACACACACACTGGAATGATGCAAGAGGTGACTAACTGTGGTCATCTGTTTTGAGGTCACAAATAAGAAGCGGACAGACAAGGGTACTTGGTAGTGAAAGGGAGATTATTTATTATATGCCTTTTTATACTTTCTATTTTTTGAATCATGTAAATATTCTCTATTCAAAAGCTTAGAATTTTTTATAAAAGGAAAAATGCAATTATTACACATATATAGAAGCTACAGAGCTGTAAACACACGCATAGATTTATCAAAATGAACCGTCAGCTACATAAATTGCCTTCTTCTGTCTTCTAGAATTTCTGGTCTATGGCAGCCCTGAGAAATCAGAGTTGAAGAGCTGGAAAGAGATATTATATGGTTATAGTGGCACCTGTAGGATAAACTGAGAAATTTTGCTTGCTGGATTCAGGTTTTTTTTTCCCCCTAAAAAGTATGCATTAGAGGGAGGGGCTGGTGAGTCTTCAATGAAATAGCTGAGCAGAAATGTTTAAATAATGAATGATGAAATATTCTAACCATAGAGCAGAGTGATGAGATAAATGTAGTTTCAGAGCCTCAAACACTTGGCTTCATGTTTTCTCTCTGCTGTTTTAGGTAAATGAAAAAAAGTATCTCTGAAACACGAGTTTCTTCATGTGTAAATATGAAATATTAGTTTCTTCATGTGTAAATATGCACAACCCTGCCCATTTTGCAGAGCTGGTGTAGTATGAGAGCGAGTACATGTAACCTGCTGAATTTGCAGCCTGGCACACAGCTGGTTCTCGGTAATCTTTAACCAGTGCATTTTTGCCATTTAATGTATCCTTTGATATTACTGCACTCACCCCATAGACTCACTGTTTCAACCCCACCCCACCATGATGCATTATCACCTTTTATTCACTTTTCTACAAACAAGCTCCTCACACCAAGCCTAATTTAGATTCCTTGCATCTCTTAATATCAAACTAGTACAGCCGCATCTCTCCACTCCTCACTGAACTCATGATTTGGGACCATTTTTTGAAACTCTTGATTTGTCTATTTCATTTTCCAGGAAACATATCACAAATTATATTTATACATTTTTTTGTACCTGATAATAAGATGCATTTATCCACATAATGACATGACATTTTCTCCTCCGGGATTGTTATTAAGCTTGAGCCTGACCTTTTTGCACCTTCAGAATGTAAATGTTCTTCTGAATCTCTGTTAGCTTTATGTATATATGCACAGCATCATGTTTTTAGAATGATATGCTTCTGTATGTGTATAAGACTAAAGCAAAATAGAATTTGAGATCAAGAACTGAAAGAAATTCATTAGCAATCTTAAAACACGAATAAATTTAAAAGATATTGTAACTCAGTAAAGGAATATTTACTAGTGTAACAGACTAAGCAGACATGATTTTTAAAAGTAAACAAATAGTTACTAGAAATATACACAGTTATGTTTAAACCTAAAATAGAAGGTGAGTTGATTTTCTACTCCCAAGATGCTTAGACCAAATGGATAAGAGAAAACTAGACAGTAAAGGATGTGATAATTATGATTTGAAACAGTGGAGGATCTAGACAGAATTAGGAAAAAAGAGAAGAAATAAACCTCTGTTTCCAACAGATGGTGCTGCATATCATAAATATTTTGATGAATATAATGACCCCAGGGTGTTCTGGGCCCGTCAATTAACACTCTAATGGGAGATTTCAACAATCCATATGACAGGATTTACAGAGAGTGACCAGTCATGATTACTAAAAAAAAAATCTATGCTATAGCGAGCATAAAATAGGTTCAACCACAGAATAATAAATACAAAATATGGCAAATATATAATACACAATATTATTAATTACAAAATATTGCTAAAGAATTCAGATATCAAGTTAGAGAATTAGAAACCACATGGCAATAAATGGATATATGGATATCATGTTCCTTGACACTACCACACTAACATTAAAAAGCAAAGGAAGGGGTGGAATTCAGACAACATACAGGTCACAGACAAAAGATAGTCATTATTTCAATATCTGAAAATATCAGTGAAATATTCAGTCATTATCTGAAGTGGATGTTTGCAGGGTGGAAAATTAGATGGTAAAATCCAAACAAGAGCTTAACAGCTAAACTGTGGAAGGGTTTCAGAAAAGTAAAACAATACTGATAAAACTGGGAGAGAGAGCATGGGCGTAATGCACACATATAAGATGAATTGTTGTTTATGTAAGTGTAATTAAGGTTAGTACACTTACAAGGCAGGATGTCCCCAGATCCAACTACAATTATAAGAGCAACTAAAAATACAGGTGGGATGTAATGATGTCCCAGTTGAGATAAACATGGTAAGGACACTGTTATTAGACTACTGAAAAATGTGGAGATTATTTGGTACTAGAGCAGATCTAAAAGAAATAGACCAAAAGAAAAAAAAAAAGAAGGAACTGATGGGGAAGGTAGGGGAGTTGAGGACACACCGAAGAACCTAATAGAAAATAAAAGAAAGAATAAGAAGAACTTCTGCTTATTCTAGACATGAAAAGAAATAGATAGAACCATCTTAAGAATAGGTAAGCCCCATGAGACAGAATAGTAGACCACATAGGGATAAATGGCTTTCATGCAGCCCAAAAGTAAAGAACTTCTGCTGTTCCAACAAAGGGAAAAAAGGAAGGGACTGTTACTATCAAAAACAGTAAGGATAAGCTTAGACTACAGAGACAAAACCCAGAGCTCTAAACTAGAAACATGGCATTCTTTTATCTTTCCTGATCACATTTTTCCTATATTATCTATTAAAATGTAATTGTGCAAATAATGTTATAATAGCATTACTACATACAGAATCATAAATATCAATAATTTCAGGAAAAATGCCTGAGTATGCATAAACGAAATGAAAAGAAAAATTTAAACTGTTAGGAGGAAGCATTTCTGTAGGAGTCCTGGTAAAATGAAGCCTAGGATCAGCCAGTTGTCTTCCCAGAACATGAAGTATCTTTAACAGCAAATTCCAAATGAGTAACTGGAACAGACCTGATAAAAGAAAATTATAGGACATTGAAGAAAATAAAATCAATTTAGTAGTATATATTTCTATTGAAGAGGCAAAACTGACACCAGTGACATTACTCACATTGGATTGTGATGTGTCATATCTATTCTCTTAACTAAAGTTTATTCTTGAAAGCTTTGTAAAATTTATTTGGTGGTGTGAATGGGGGAAGTTTTATTATAATTTTGGATCATTTATTTAACGTGTACATATGAACTATTTAGATTTTCTTTTTCTTCTTCAGTCAGTTTCAGTGAGTAATATTTTTCTGGAAATTTGCCTGTTTTACTTAGGTTTTCAAATTCACTGGCATAAAATTGTCATTGAGGTGGCAGTAGGAATGGCAGTCCAATGGTTCCTTTTTAATAACCTTTTGAAATAATTATAGACTTACAAGAAATTGCAAAAGTAGTACAAACATGTTCCATGTACCCTTTCTTCAACTCACCCCAATTCTAATATCTTACATCTACTAGCACATTACCAAAATCAAATACTGTTGATTAGGCTACGCACCTTACTTGATTCCACCAGTTTTTACCTGAACTGATTTTTTACATGTATATAGTATATATACATGTACATAGTTTTAAGAGATTTTACCACTTGTATGGATTCACACAGCTACCACCACAAGATATGGGGCTGTTCCATCATCACAAAGACCCTCCCTCATGCTACCTTATTACAGTCAGATCCTCTTTGCCCACCCACCTCCCTAACTCTGACAATCACTGATTTCTTCTCCATATCTATAATTTTGTCACATCAAGAGGGTTACGTAAACTGAATCATACAGTAAGGAACTCCTTAATATTGGCTTATTTCACTCAGCATAACTGTGTTCATAACCAATATATGATGTTCTACATTTCTATATGTGCTTTTATTTACAATCTACATTCCTTCTTTGGTTATATGTCTGCTTCAGTCTTTTACCTTTTTTTTATTGTGGTGTTTGGTTTTTTTTTTTTTTGTTAAACTTGGGGAGTTCTTTATAATACCATTGTCTTATTGGTGATTTGCAAATAAACTTTCCCAGTCTGTGGCTTGTGTTTTTATCCTCTTAATGAGGTATTTCACAGAGCAGAAGTTTTTAAGTCTGATCAAGTCCAATTTATCAAATTTTCTTTCATAGATTATGCTTTTGGTATCACATCTAAGATCTCTTAGACCCAAGTCACAAAGATTTTTTTCTACAATGTTTCCCATATAAGTATTATAAATTTGTGTTTTACATGTAGACTTATAGTTCATTTTGAGTTAATTTTACATAAGGTGTGAGGTTTAGGTAGTAGTTCATTTTTCTGGCTGTGAATGTCCAATTTTCCCAGTGCCATGTATTGAAAATGTCACCTTTCCTTTATTGATTGCTTTCACATTTTTATCAAAATCTGTTGTCCATACCTTTAAGGGATCTCTTTCTAGGTTCTTTGTTCTGCTCCATTGATCTATGTGTCTTTTTCTGCATGATTCTGTCTTGATTAATGTAGCTGTACAGTAAGTCTTAGACCAAGGTGGCCTGATTTCTCGAACTTTATTACTTTTCAAAAATATTTAGCCTACTCTAGTTTATTTGCTATTTTACATTAATTTTATATTAACCTAGATTATATCTACAAAAATATTATGAAGATTTTGATATGAATTGCACTAAATCTATAGATACATTTAGGAAGAATTGACATTTTTCTAGGGTAAGTCTTTCAATTTATGAGAATAGTGTGTCTTTTCATTTTATTGCTGCTTCTGTTATTTATTTCATCAGCATTTTGTACTTGACAGCATACCGTCCTGTAAATGTTTTCTAAGACAGACGCCTAATAGTTAAATTTTTTTAGTGATTTTAATTGGTCTTGTTTTTTAAGTTTTGGCTTTCAATGTTAGTTGCTAGTCTATGGGAATATTATTGATTTCTTGATCAAGAATCCTGTACAGTGTGCAGAACCATGAGCCAATTATAAACTACCCAGTCTCAGACATTTTTTAATAACAGTGTGAAAACCAAGCAGTACAGGCTTCTGGGGAGGCTTCAAGAAACTTTTACTCATGGTGGAAGGCAAAGTGGGAGCAGGTGTCTTACGTGGCTGGAGTAGGAGAAAGAGAGAGAGAAGGGGGTAGTGCCACATACTTTTAAACATCCAGATCTCATGAGAGCTCACTCACCATACAGTACCAAGTGGGGGATGGTGCTAGGCCATTTATGAGAACTCCACCCCCATGATCCAATCACCTCCCACCAGGCCCCGCCTCTAACACTGAGGATTACAATTGAGCATGAGATTTGGATAAGGATGCACCCAAACCATATCAGATCCTGTGACCCTGATAAACTCATTTATTAGTTCAAGGGATTTCTTTTTAACTTTTGGGGATTTTTTTTAATATACACTAGAGAGTTTGCAAACTATGGGTTGTGGGACAAATTCAGGACACTCTCTTTGTTAACTTTCATAAGAACATGCATATTTATATTTTGTATATGGCTGTTTTTATGCTATAAAAACAGAAATGAATACTTGTGACAGGCACCACATTGCTACAAAGCTAAGTATTTACTATCTGGTCCTTCACAGAAAAAGCTTGCTGATATCTGATGTAGACAATTGTGCCATATGAAAAGAGACCATTTTATTTTTTCCTTTACTGTCTATATGTTGTTTATATCCTTTTCTTGCCTTATTGCAGTGCCTACAACTTCCAGCACTGTGTTGAAGGGGTGGTGAGAGTAGACCTCCTTTCATGGTTCTAATTTTAGAGGAGACATATTCAGTCTTTCACCATTAAGCACGATGTTCACTGTAGGCTTTTGTAGATGCTTTCTATGAGGTTGAGGAGGTTCCTGTCTATTCCTAGTTTTCTGAGTTTCATCATGAAAGGGTGTTGAATATTTTTAATGCTTTTTGTATGCCAATTTATATGATTGTGTGGTTTGCCTTCTTAACCTGTATATGTTGAATTACCTTGATTTTCAAGTATAAAACCACCTTTATATTTCTGGAATGACTCCTATTTAGTTGTGACACATAATTATTTACATATGTATTGCTGGATAGATTTACTAATATTTTGTTGAGTTTTTTGTGTCTGTAGTTTTATTCTGTACTATCTTTGCTGATTTTGGTTTGAGGATATTATTAGCTTCATAACATGAGTTAGGAAGTGCTTTCTTCTATTTTCTGAAAGAAGAATGCATAGAATTCAGGTAATTTTTGTTTAAATGTTTGTGAGAATTGTCCAGTGAAACCATCTTGGGGATTTTTTTTTGGAGTATTTATTTTCAAAGTTAACTTATTTGATAGTTATGGGACTGTTTAGATTATCTATTTCACCTTTGGTGAAATTTGTTAGGTTGCAGTTTTGCAGAAATTGATTCATTTCATTTAAGTGGTCAAATTTATGTGTGTATGGTTGATGGTAGTGTTCCCTTAATATCTTTTTATATCTACAGATTTTGTTGTGATATTCCCCTTCTCCCCCTGATATTGATAATATGTATCTTCTTTCTCTTCTTGTCTGTCAGTTTTATTAAAGGTCTATCAATTTCATCAATCTTTTTCAAGCAACCAGCTTTTGGTTTGATAGATGGATTTTATCTACTGTTTTTTTCTGTTTTCTTTTTAAAATTTTTCTTTTGTTTTTAATTGACACATAATTATATACATCTGTGGGGTACAGCATAATGTTTGGACACATTGTATAATGATTAAATCATGGTATTTAGCATATTCATCAACTCAAACTTTTATCATTTCTTTATGGTGAGAACATTCAGGATTCTGTCTTCTAGTTATTTTGAAATGTACACTATAATATAGTTTACTGTAGTCACTCTACTATGCTGTAGAATACTCTTATTTCTCTTACCTAACTGTAATTTTGTATCTGTTGACTGATCTCTCCTTCCCCTCCCCAGTTCCCCACACTCCCCAGCCTCTGGCAACCCATTATTCTATTATATTTCAATGAGATAAGCTTTTTTGGACTCCACAAAGGAGTGTGATCATGTGGTATTTGTCTTTCTGTGCCTGGCTTATTTTACTTAACAATGTCTTTCAGGTTCATCCATGTTGCCAAAAAAGACAGGATTTTATTTTTCCATGCCTGAGTAATGTTCTATTGTGTATATATATCAGACTGTATTAATTTGTATGTTGACAGACACTTAGCTTGATTCTATATCGTGGCTATTGTCAATAGTGCAATAACATAGAAGTTCAGATATCCTTTATCATACTGATTTTATTTCCTTTGAATAAATACCCAATAGTAGAAGTGCTGGATCATACGGCAGCTCTATTTTTAATTTTTTGAGGAAACTCCATGCTGTTTTTCATAATGGCTATGACAGTTTACATTCCCATCAACAGCTTATGTGTAAAGGTTCCCTTTTTTCCATATTCATGGTAGCATTTGTTATTTTTCGTTTTTTTTTACTAGCCATTATAATTGTTGTGAGCTGCTATCTCATTGTGGCTTTTGATTTGCATTTCCCTGATGATGAGTGATTTTGAGCATTTTTTCATGTACTCTTTGGCTGTTTGTATGTCTTCTTTTGATAAATATCTATTGAAGTCCTTTCTCCATTTTTAAACTGGAATACTTATTTTTTTGCTATTGAATTGTTTGAGTTTCTTATACGTTCTGGACATTAGCCCTTTGTCAGTTGCATAGTTTGCTGATATTTTCTCTCATTAGTCACTTTGTTGATTATTTCCTTTGTTGTGCAGAAGCTTTTTAGTTTGATGTAATCCCACTTGTCTATTTTTGCTTTTGTTGCCTCTGTTTCTGTGTTCTTATATAAAAATCATTTCCTAGACTGATGTCATAAAGCATTCCCCTAATGTTTTCTTCTAGTACTTTTATAGTTTTGGGTCTTACATTTAAGTCTTTAATCTATTTTGAGTTACTGTCTATTTCCTTCTTTAGATCTTACAATATTTGCTTTATATATCTGGGTGCTCTGAGGTAGGGTGCATATATGTTTAAAATCGTTACATCCTCTTCCCAAATTAACCCCTTTATCATGATATAATGGCCTTTTTATCTCTTTTTTCTAAGTTTTTGGCTAGAAATCTATTTTGTCTGGCATAAGTATTGCTACTCCTGCTCTCTTTCAGTTCCTGTTTATGCAGAATATTATTTATAAGTTGACAACTTAACTTTGATCTTATACAAATACTCTAGACTTTTGCCCTCCACGTGCAATTTATAATTTTGTAGCCCTAATTTATATTTTTTAATATAGTGTGTTCTTTAACATCTTATTGGAACTATAGATTTCATCAACCATTTTAACATTTGTACTAGAGATTTGAAAGATTATATACTATCTTTACATTAGTGCTATCCTGAATTTGGTAGTAAATTTACCTCTACTGTTTCTAACTTTGATTTGGAATTTACCTCTACCAATGAATTTTAAACTTTCATTGTGCTTCACAGGGTTTCTGTGAATCCCTTGCTGTATTCCAGTGTTTTCCTTTAGACTTTTCTAATAGCAGTTTTCCAATTGAAGTATTTTTCTTCTTGCTGTTTCTGTCATTTATTGTGGGAGGGATAAGTGTTAGGTAACTCTAGTCAGCCATCTTACTGACATCACTCTTGTTGTTTTTCTATTTTCAGTTCCATTTATTTCTAGTCTCCAAATTATTTCCTTTCTTTTGCTGCTTTGAGTTAATCTTTCTCTTATGTTCTATCTTCCTGAGGAGGAAGCTAAATTTTTTAATTTTAAATTTTTCTTATTTTCTAATATTAGCATTTAGTGCTAAAAATTTCCTTCCAAGCACTGCTTAGCTGCATCTCACATATTTCAATATGTTGTATTTTCATTTTTCTTCTATTTAATGTAATATTTTATTTCCCTTTAGAGTTCTTCTCTGACCTGTGGATTATGTAGATGTGTGTGGTTAAATTTTTCAGTGTTTGAAGATATTTCTATTGTCTTTCTAATAGATTACTAGTTTGATTCCATTGTGGTTAGAGAACATATTTTGTATGATTTCAATTCTTTTGAATTTGTTGAATGCTGTTTTAAAGACTAAGGATGTGGTATTGGTGAATATTCTATATGCAGTTGAAAAGAATTTGTATTCTGCTGTTGTTTGGTAGAGTGTTTTATAAATCGTAATTAGATCCCATTGATTAGTAGTATTTTTCAATTCTACTATAACTTTTCAGATTTTCTGTCCATTATTTCTATTGGTTACTTGAGAGAATAACAAATTATAAATAAAATTTACTCTATATTATAACTTTGTCTTTTTTTTAAGTGGTCAGTTTTTCCTTCATATATTTTGCAGCTTGTTTGCTGTGTACACATTGAAAATTGTGATGTCTTTGTCAGTGGATTAACCCTTTTGTCATTGTATATCTTTTCTTTCCTCTGAAGTCTACTTTATTTAAGATAGCTATTCTCATTTTTCTTTATTACTGTTTGAATAGTGTATTTTTACATCATGTACTTTTAACCTAACTATATAATTACATGTAATATTAATTTCCTGTTAGTAGCATACAGTTTGTCATAATTTTTGTTCACTCTGCTAAAATGTGTCTTTTAATTGGGTATTTACATTTATTGTAATTATTGACGTATTAGGACTTAAGTCTGCCATTTTATTATTTGTTTCCATCTTCCCTTCTTATTTCATTTCTCTATTTTCTGCTTCCCTGTGGGTAACCTAAACATTTTTTTAGTATTCTGTTTTGATTTACTTACAATGTCTTTGAGTACATTTCTTAATGTAGTATTTTAAGTAGTGACCCTGGGTATTACAATATACATATGTAATTTATTATAACCTACTAGTATTGACATTTTATCACTGCAAGTAATAAAGTCAAAACCTTATCACCATTTAGGTCTCTTTTCCCTCCTCCCTTTGTAATATAAATTTCCCAAATATTTTCTCTATATACATTGAGAACCACATTAGATAATTTAAAAATTTTGCTTCCAACTAATATAATTTTTTGACTAATATAATTTTTTAAACTCATAAGGAAAATGATATCCTATTATATTTACCTATTCCATTGCTCCATATTTATTCTTGATGTTTTAGGTTTCTTTCAATTATTATTTTCTTTCTGTTGGAATACTTTTCTTTAGCAAGTCTTCTAAGTTAGCCTTACTGACATTTTTTCATTTTTTTAGGTAGCAGTTTGTCAATTTTATCTTTTCAGAAAATAAATTCCTCATTTCATTGATATTTTGTATTTTTAGTCACTATTTTGTTGGTTTATGCTCTGATCTTTATTGTTTATTTTCTTGTACTTATTTTGGGTTTAGTTTGTTCTTGTTTTTCTAGTTCCTTGAGGTATAATGTTAGGTGGTTTATTTGAAATGAACCATGCTAAGTAGTTTAGTAAAAATGTCTTTATTTCACTTTCATTCCTGAAAGATATTTTTGTTGGATATGGAATTCTGGGTTGACAGTTCTCCTCTTCCAGCAATTGGAAAATATTTTGCTACTTCCTTCTGACCTTTGTGGTTTTGGATGACAATTCCACTGTTCTGGGAAATGCTTTTTTCCTATAAACAATCTGTCATGGATCTTTCAGGACTTTCTCTGGATCTTTCAGGACTTTGTCTTCAGTTCTCAGAGGTTTAATTATGATGTCTCTACAAATTTACTTTTTTGAGTTTGTCTTATTTTTGGTTCACTCAGCTTCTTAAATCTATAGTTTATTTGTTTTAGCTGATTTGGAAGTTTTTCCACCATTATTATTTTTTTCTTAAGTTTTCTGCCCTGCACACTTTTTCTTTTTCTTCTGTGACTCTGATGACACAAATGTTAAATTTTATGTTGTTGTCTCAGTTATCTGAGGTTCTATTCATTCTTTTCCCAATCATCTTTTTTCCATTGCTCAGATTGAATAATATTTATTGATCTATATTCAAGTTTATTATTTCCCCTGTCATTTCCGTTTTCTTACTGAGCCTATCCAGTGAATTTTTCATTTAGGTTATTGAATTTTTCAGTTCTAAATTTTCCATCTGATTTTCTTTTTATCTTTGTTTGTTGAGACTTTCCACTTTAAAAATTTGTTTCAAGAATGTATCTAACTACTAATTTTTATAATAGTTGCTTTAACATCCTTGGCAGATAATTTCAAAATTCATGTCATCTTGGTGTTGGCATTTGCTGATTGTCTTTTCTCTTTCAATTTCACAGTTTCCTTGTTTTTGTACAATGAGTAATGTTCTCTTATTTTCTAGCCATTTGTTACATTATACATTATGTGATGAGACAAGGTTCCCAGTTAGTTTTCCTTTTCTTTTTTTAGCAGTTATTCCAGCTACTTAGGTTTAGCATACATTTTATGGCCTACTTTTGTGAGTTGTAGTTCAAATATGAAATTATTTTTCAAAGTCTTTGTAGTGATATTCTCATCTGCACTATTGTGTGCTACCAGTAACCCAGTCTGAAACCTGGTTGGTTTTCCACTGAAGTTCAGTACCTAAAACTGTTACTTTGTTGATAATCCTGCATGAGTCACTTGAGGATCTGCCCAGGACTTTGTATATAAAGTATCTTTTTCAGCTGTGAGAGGGAGCATGGCTGGAGCTGTGAGGTAATATAGAGTACCCCTATGACTGAACAAGACCCTATCTACTGACCATTACGCTTAAGTGCTACTTACTGGTTCACACTCTAAAACTTCAACACTGAAAAATACTTTGGTAATCTGTCCCCTTGTAAAACCAGAGGCAAGAAGTCAGCTACAAATAAAGACTCTGCACAAAGCCTCAGCCCTCTGGAAACATGCAAAAAGAAAGTCTACTGACTGTACTCAATTTATACCACAGTTAAAGGAGCATGCACACACAGACATGAGAAAGAACCAGCACAAGAACTCTGGCAAGTCAAATGCCCAGAGTGTCTTCTGTTCTCCAAACAAGCACACTAGTTCTCCAACAAGGGTTCTTAACCAGGCTGGGATGGTTGAAATGACAGAAATAGAATCCCAAATATAGATAGGAGTGAAGATCATTGAGATTCAGTAGAACTTTGAAACCAAATTCAAGAAAGCTAAGAATGAAAATAAAATAATATGGGAGCTAACAGATTAAACAGCCAGTATAAAAAAGAACCTATATGACCTGATAGAGCTAAAAAATACACCATAAGAATTTCATAATATTGAGAAGTGAAGCCAGCTGGACTTCCTTGGTAGAGTGGGGACTTGGAGAACTTTTCTGTCTAGCAAGAGGATTGTAAAACACACCAATCAGCACTCAGTAGCTAGGATTGTAAAATGCACCAATCAGTGCTCTGTAGCTAGCAAGGGGATTGTAAAATGCACCAATCAGTGCTCTGTAAAAACACACCAATCAGCGCTCTGTAGTTAGCAAGAGGATTGTAAAATGCACCAATCAGCGCTCTGTAAAATGCACCAATCAGCACTCTGTAAAATGCACCAATCAGCAGGATCCCAAAAGTAGCCAATCGCAGGGAGGATTGAAAAAAGGGCATTCTAATAGGGCAGAAACAGAACATGGGAGCAGACAAATAAGGGAATAAAAGCTGGCCACCCCAGCCAGAAGTAGCAACCCATTCAGGTCCCCTTCCACACTGTGGAAGCTTTGTTCTTTTGCTCTTCACAATAAACCTTGCTACTGCCCATTCTTTGGGTCCGTGCCATCTTGAAGGGCTGTAACACTCACCGCGAAGGTCCGCGGCTTCATTTTTGAAGTCAGCAAGACCACAAACCCACCAGAAGGAACCAACTCCAGACACAATATTATCACAAGTATTAACAGTAGAATAGACCAAGCTGAGGAAAGAATCTCAGAACTTGAAGACTGGCTCTCTAAAATAAGACAATCAGATAATTAAAAAAAAAAAAAGAAGGAAAATGAATGAACAAAACCTCCATGAAGTATGGGATTATGTAGAGGCTAAATCTATAGACCATTAGTGCTCCTAAAAGAGAGGGGGAGAAAGCAAGCAATTTGGAAAACACATTTCAGGATGTTATCCATGAAAACTTCCCCAGCCTCACTAGAGAATCCAACATCCAAATTCAGGAAATAAAGAGAACCCTTGCAAGATACTACACAAAAATTTCATACCCAAGACGTATAATTATTTAATCGTCAGGTTTTCCAAGATTGCAATGAAAGAAAAAATATTAAAGGCTGCTAGAGAGACAGGGCAGTTCTCCTAAGGGAATTCCTAAGGGAATTCCATCAGGCTAAAAAGTCCATAGAAGTCTAAAAGTCTATAGCAGATGTTTCAGCAGAAACCCTACTAGCCAGAGGGGATGAGGGGCCCACATTCAACAACAACAAAAAAATTTCCAACCAAGAATTTCATATCCATGCTTCAAAAGTGGAGGAGAAAAAGGATCCTTCTCAGAGAAGCAAATGCTGAGAGATTCATGACGACCAGACCTGCCTTACAAGAGCTCCTGAAAGAAGCACTAAATATAGAAAGGAAAGAACATTTCCAGCCACAACAAGAACACACTGAAGTACATACACAGACCAGTGACACTATAAAGCAACCACACAAATAAGTCTGTGTAACAACAACCTAACAATACAATGACAGTTTCAAATCCACACACATCAACAGTAACTTGAATGTAAATAGACGAAATTTCCCAATTAAAAGGCACAGAGTGACAAGATGGATAAAGAAGCAAGACCCAATGGTATGCTGTTATCAAGACCCATCTCACATGCAATGACACTCATAGATTCAAAATAAAGGGTTGAAGAAAAATCTACCAAGCAAATAGAGAACAGAAAAAAGCAGGGGTTGCAACCCTAATTCCAGACAAAACAGACTTTGATTTAACCAACAAAGATAAAAAGAGACAAAGAAGGTCATTATATAATGGTAAAGGGTTCAATTCAACAAGATCTAACTATCCTAAATATATGTACCCAACACAGGAGCACCCAGATTCATAAAGCAAGTTCTTAGAGATCTTCAAAGACACTTAGACTCCCACACAATAATAGTGGGAGTCTTCAAAATCCCACTGGCAGTATTAGACAGGGAGAAAATTAACAAATATATTCAGAACCTGAACTCAAGTCTTGATCAAATGAACCTAATAGACATTGACAGAACTCTCCATCCAAAAACAATGGATTATGCATTCTTCTCATTGCCATATGGCAATGTAAATTATTGCCATACTGCTATGTAAATTAGTCCAACCATTGTTGGAAGCAGTGTGGTCATCCCTCAAAAAAATAAAAAGAGAACTAGCATTAAACCCAGCAATCCTATTACTGGGTATATACCCAAATGAATATAAATTGCTCTACCATAAGGACACATGCACACATATGTTCATTGCAGCACTATTCACAATAGCAAAGACATGAAATCAAACTAAATGCCCACCAATGATAGACTGGATAAAGAAAATGTGGTAAATATACACCTTGAAATACTGTGAAGCCATATAAAATAATGAAATCATGTCCTTTGCAGGAACATAGATGGAGCTGGAGGCCATTATCCTTACCTAACCAACCCAGGAACAGAAAACCAAATACCATATGTTCTCACTTATAAGTGGGAGCTAACTAATGAGAACTAATGGCCACAGCGAGGGGAAAAACAGACACTAAGACCTACTTGAGGGAGGAGGGAGAGGTTCAGAAACAAACAAACAAACAAACATTCAGGCTCTCTGCTCAGTACCCGGGTGACAATATGGTCTGTGCACCAAACCCACATAATACAAATTTGTCTGTAATAAGAAATCTGCACATGTACCCCTGAACCTAAAATAAAAGTTAAATGAATAAATAAAGTATCTCTTTCTTCAACTACTTCCTTTCTGTAATTCTTTCCCTAACCTCAAGTTGCAAAGAGAGAAGTGCTGACTAGTTACTACAAATCATGAATGGAAGCCTAGACCCATCACACCCCACTGTCTCTACATACACTTAACTGGCTGAGACTATAAGGAGTACCCAACCACTTATTACTACCAGATGAGGACGAAGTCAGAGCTCTGCTCACAGTGTCCATGTTTCCTGCAGTGCCTGGTATGTGAGAAGGGGCATTTTTCTTTTTGTACTGTGTTTGGCTGGAATAGGATGGGTACTGCTCAAAGAGTACTCTCCTATTGGCCCACTCCTTTTCACGTCCTTTGGCTAGAGAAAGTAGGATTTTTCTGGAGCTTCTTGGCCTGTGCCTATTGGCATTTCCAAGTTGTGTTCTTCTCTAGTGATCAAGATGGGGTATATGAGAGACAAAAAACAAAACAAAACAAAAACCAGAAAAAGGGAACAGACCACTGTCATTTTTCAAGTTCCAAAATTCCTAGGCAGTACACCTTCTTTTCTCTCATGTAAGAGTCTTCCAGTGTTTTATGCATTTTGTCCAGGATTTTAACATTCAGATAGTGGAAGAAATACAGTGAAATGTGTCTACTTCATCGTGATTGAACGGCTGAACCAAGATAAAAGCAAATCTTAACAGAATACAGATTTTTTAAAGACACATTACATACAACGATAAAAAATATAGAAATTACACCAGATGAATTATCAGAAATATGCAAGCCAGAAAACAATGGAGTGACATCATTAAAATGTTGAGAAAGAAACATACCTGTCAATTTAAAAATCCTAAGCCCAGCAAAAATCTCAAAAATGAATGAGAAATGATGACCTTTTATTTCAGCAAAACAAAAATTGAGGGAATTTATTAACAGCGGCACAGCATGATGAGAAATGATGAAGAAAATCGCCGGGCACGTGGCTCACACCTGCACTTTGGGAGGCCGAGGCGGGTGGATCACAAGGTCAAGAGATTGAGACCATCCTGGCCAACATGGTGAAATCCCGTCTCTACTAAAAATACAAAAATTAGCCAGGTGTGGTGGTGGGTGCCTGTAGTCCCAGCTACTCGGGAGGCTGAGGCAGGAGAATTGCTTGAACCCGGGAGGCAGAGGTTGCAGTGAGCTGAGATTGTGCCCCTGCACTGCAGCCTGATGACAGAGTAAGAATCCATCTAAAAAAAAATGATGAAGAAAATCTTCAGGCAGAAGGAATATGTTAGCTAGCAGAAAACTGGGTTTACACAAAGAAGTGAACAACTCCATTAATGTATAAAATAAGGATAAATATAAAAGATATCTTTAATTTTATTTTAATTGCTCTAAAAGATTGTTATTCATCTATAAACAAATATAGTAGCAATGCGAGTTTATAGGATATATAAAATAAAATAAAAATTTCTGGTTTCAACTCCAATATGTAGAGAACTTAGAAGTTACCACTACTCCCCTTACAAGAACAAAATAAGTGAATAAATTGAAAACCACTGATTTTTATTGAATCCATCAGAGAACCTCTTTGTAGGGCATACTGCCACACCAACATCTGGAGAGACAGGTGAATGCAGAGAATCACAGATGAGATGAATTTACCTAGAACAGGAACTACTTGAGCTGCAAACTGATAAGAACACTTATATGGTAACTTTGATGAATTGCTGAAGGCAGAATGTAGATTAGCATGAGAGTGATGGATTTTGGGGGGTGACAGAGTATTGGGGATCCTCCACATTTTCATAGGTTTTGTTTCCAGGAATCCCATCAGTTTCTCACAGTGATAAGCCAAGAAAGAGCTCTCACATTTCTAGAAGTGGGAGGGAAAATGTAACCATTTTGAGATATGCCCAGAGCATTCTCCATAACAAAGTCTTATTCACCAGGGGAAAAGACTTTATTAGAGCCTATTCAGCTTGGAGGAAATTACCCAACTCCAGTCCTCTCTAGCCCTCTTGTCTCATGTGAGGGAGGAAAATGGGTTATAGCCCAGAGACACAGGTTCATTAAAGACTGAAATTTAATCATAGGATTATAGAATGTGTTTCTTCCTTCCACACTTCACTACCACATCAATGGGATTCCACTATAACAGTGGATCACAGCTGAAGAAGCTTTAAATGGAAACCCAAAGACAACAATGGAAAAAGAACAACAACACAAAAAGGACTCTAAAGGAAATTGAAACCATGTACAGGAAACATTAAACATAGCCAACACCTAGCCAGATTAGCATAAACTCTCATAACAAAGGCCTTTTTACCTTAGTTCCTATTAATTGATACATCTTGTCTGGATTTTTTTTTAACTTGCAAGTAATGCTTAATGGCCAGAAACAAACATAATCTGAAGAAACAAAGTAAGCATAAGACCGGACTCAGATATGTCACAGAATTTAGAATTATCAGAGAATTTAATATCACTATGATTAATATATGAATGAATCTAATGGAAGAAAGACAAAATTTAAGAGTAAATAGATAATATAAGCAGAGACAGGTAATCTAAAAAAGAATCAAATGGAAATGCAATAAATAAATTTAAAAAACACTGCAACAGAAATACAGAATGCCTGTTATGAGCTCACCAGTAGACTGGATATGGCCAAGAAAAGAATCAGTGAACTTGAAGATATGCCAATACAACTTCCCAAGCAGAAAGGCAAAGAGAAAAAATAACAATAATTAAAAAAAAACCAGAACAACTCATCCAAGAAATGTGAGACAACTTCAAAAGGCATGATACATGCATAACTGGAATACCAGAAGGAAAAGAAAATAAGAACCAAGCAGAATAAATATTTGAAGTAATAATGACTGAGAATTTTCCAAAATTAGTGTCAGGCATCAAATCACAGATTCAGGAAGTTCAAAGAACACAAAACAGTATAAATACCAAAAATCTTTACCTAGGAATATCATGTTAAAACTACAGGAAACCAAAGACAAGGAGAAGATCTTGAAGAAAGCCAGAGAAGGAAAATACAACTTACCTAAAAAGAAACAATGATGAAAATTACATCAGACTTCCCATCAGAAACTATGCAAGCAAGAAGAAAGTGGAGTGAAATATTTAAAGTGTTGAAAGAAAAATCTTCACTAATATACCATTATATCTGGCAAAATTATCTTTCAAAAGTGAAAGAGAAATAAAAACATTCTCATACAAATAAAAACTGGGGAAATTAATCAACAGCAGACTTTCCCTGCAAGAAATGTTTTTAAAAAGTAGTTCAGAGAGAAGGAAAATGATATAGGAAAAAAACTTTAATCTACATGAAGAAAGAAAGAGCATTGAAGAAGAAATAAATGAATTGATCAAATAAATAGCTATTGTAAATAAATTAATCAAATAAATAACTGTTTAAACTGAAAATAGTAACAATTACTGTGTGACTATAGTATATGGATACATGAAATGAATGACAGCAATTTTTTAAGGGATGAATGGGAACAGAAAAAGAGGAAAATAAAAAAGAAACAAAGAACAAATGTAATGAACAGACAGTAGTTACAAACACAGTGGATATTAATACAACTATATAGCTCATCACTTTAAATGTGGTTTAAATAAACCAATTAAAAGTCAAAAATTGTTGGAGTGGACAAAACAAACAAACAAATAAGACCCAATCATACGTTCTCTAAAAGTTTCCCAATTTAAATACAAAGACAGGGTTGGACATGGTGACTCACATCAGTAATGCCAGCAGAAAATGTAATCCAAATTGTCCTATACCGATTAAAGTAATTAAATTTCTTTTTAAAAATCTTTGAACAAAGTAAACTTCACACAGCGATGACTTTAATTGCAAATTCTACTACACATTTAAGGAACAAATAAAACCAGTTCTACAGAAACTCAGAAAAACAAAAAAAGAGACACTTAACAAACTCATTTTATTAGTTGAGCATTACACTGATTAAAAAAATACGTTTGAAAAACTTAAAAAAACTATAAAACAATATCCCTCATGAATATAGATATAAATTCTTGTCCTAAAATATTACCTAACTGAATCTATCAATATATAAAAAGGCCAATATATTATAATGAATTAGGGTCTATATCAGGAATGCTGGTTCAAATTTTCAACTTAAAAAATTTCATTTTGTTTCCAATTGGAAAAAATCTTCAATTTTTAAAACAAAAATCAATTAATGTAATTAAACTTATCAACTGATTAAACAAGAAACAAAACTTGGTTATCTTCATAGCTACAAAAACATTTAACAAAATGCATTATCTATCAATAATAGAAACTTCCAACAAATTAAAAATTAAAAGAAACTTTCTTAAACTGATTAAAATCATCTATTACAAAACTCTACAGCTAACATCATACTTAATAAAGTGAAAGAATCAATGCTTTACATCTGCTAGTGGGAGAATAAATAAGGATATTCACTGTCACTATTAATCATTGTACTGAAGATTCTATCCAGTACAAGATGATAAAAAAAAGAAGCAAAAACCACACAGATTAAAAATGAAAAACGAAAACTGTCTCTATTATCAGACAATATGGAAAATCTACACATTCACTACTAGAACTAATATGTCAGTTTAGCAAGGTGGCAAGGTATGGATCAATACACAAAAATCTGTTCTATTTATGCATACCTTCAATGAACAGTTAAAAATTGAACTTCACAAAAAGAGTGTAATTTATAGTACCATCAATAACATGAAATACATAGGTATAAATCTAACAAAATAGGTGGTGGGTTTGTGTGCTAAAAACTACAAAACACTGATGAAAGAAATCAAAAGGGAACTAAATAAATAGATATATAGTGTTCGTGAATTAGAGGACTCAGTGTCATTAAGATGTAAATACACTCCTAATTTATCTATAGATTCAAGACAATGCCAATCAAAATCCCACCAAATTGTCTTTTTTTTTTGCATAGAAATTCACAAGCTGATCTAAAATTTATATGGAAAACAATGGATCTAGAATAGCCAAAACATTTTTGAATAAGAACTAAATTCAGAAGATTCACACTATCTGATTTCAAGACTTATAAAACTCTAGTGATCAACAGAATAGGGTGTTATTTTTAAAAAAAGGATTGGCGCATTATTGATTATTGGAATAAAATAGAGATTCAAGGAATACACCAAGACATACAGGTTCAACAGATTTTTGACAGATTTCAAGGCAATTCAATGGGGAAAGCAGTCATTTCAGCCAATGGTACTGGAACAACTGAATATCATGTAGAGAGAGGCGGAAAAAAAAACTTTTACCTATACCTTGCACCACATACAACATTAACTCAAAATGGATTGCAGACCTAAACGTAAGACCTAAAACGATACAATGCCTAGAATAAAAGATTAGCTAAAACCTTTGGGCTCTTGAGTTTGGTAAGGGTCTTTTTACATACTATACCAAAGCACCATCTGTAAGATTAAAATTTAATTAATTTAACCTCATTAAAATTTGAAAATTTGGCTGTTCAAAAGGGATAGTATTACCTGACCTCAAGAATTACTATAAATCTACAATAATCAACATAGCATTTGTGTAAAGGTAGATAAATAGATTCATGAAACAACGTAATGCAAGAGTTTGCAAACTTTTCTTAAAGAGCCATATAATCAATCTTTAGGCTTTGTGACCAGGAAACAAAATTGAGGCTATTAGGTAGGTATTTTACATAATCATTTGAAATGTAGCCATTTAAAAATGTAAAAGGCATTTTTAGTCCACGGGCATTAAAAATAGAGGCAGCTGATAAGACCTGGTGGACAGGTCATAGTTTGCCAACCCCTGATATAGAAAGTCCAGAAATAAACCCACATAATATGGACAACTGATGTTTTATTTTTGTTTTTTATCTTTATAAAGATGCAAAGGCAATGCAGTGGAGAAAAGATAAACATTCTAACAAATGATATTGAGAGAGTTGGCTGACTGTTCATATGCAAAAATATGACCTTGAATCCACAGCTCACACATATGCAAAAATTAAAATGGATCATGGACCTAAAGGTAAAACTTAAAACTATACAACTACCAAAAGAAAAGATAGAAGAATATCTACATGATCTTGGATTAGACAAAATTTTCTTAGATACGACACCAAAAGCACAATTCATGAAAGAATACTCTAATAAATTATGTTCCATGAATTAAAAACATTTACTCTTTAGAAAATAGTTAAGAGAATGAGAAAACAAGCCACAGAGTGGAAGAAAATATTTGCGAAACATATATCTGACTTGTTTCCAGAATACCTAGAATACATAAACAACTCTAAAACTCAACAATAAGAAACAAGTGAGCCTAATAAAAAATGAACAAAATAATTTTACAGAAATTTTACCAATGATGATACATGGATGATAAATTAGAACATGAATAGATGTTCATCATTAGTCATAGTCAAAGTCATAATAAGATACCACTGCCAACCTATCAAAGTGACTGAAATTAAGAAGGTCATTTAAATCAAGTGTTGTCAATTAAGTGGAGGAACTGAAACTCACACAGGGCTGGTGGGGATTTTGAAAGAGTATGACAGTGTCTGAAAATGCTAAACATTCACCTCCCATGTAATCCAGCCATGACATAATTAGTTATTTACCCAAGACAAAAGAAATATATCCTTATACAAAGACTTGTACATGAATGTTCACAGTAGCTTTGTTTGTAATAACCTAAAAATGAAAGCCAAACCAAATGTTTATCAATTAGTGAATGGATAAATTGTAACATACCTATACAATGAAATAGTACTAAGCAGTAAAACAAAATGAATTATTGGTACATGGAATAACATTGATATATTGCAAAATAATCATGTTTAATGAAAAAAGGCAGAAAAGAGTGTGCACTATATAATTTAATTTACATAAAATTTCAGAAAATGCAAAGCAATCTATAGTGATAGTGTATATTTATAGCAGTGCAATCTATAGTAAATTGTGTAATCTATAGTAACAGAGGTTGCTTGGGGATGGGAGGGAAGGTAGGAGTAGGACAGCAGATAACAGTAGGAGGGATGGAGGAGTTAAAAAGAAGAATGAGACATTTTTGGAGATGAATATGTTCACTTTCTTTATTGTGATGATGTTTAATAGGTCTATACAGATATCAAAAGTTTTCAAATTGTTGAGTTAAATATGGCCACTTTACTGTATGTCACTTATACCTCAATGGAGTTGTTTTAAAAACCTGCTCTCCAAAACGCATGGCTAAACACATGAAAACACAAGTCACATATTGGGAGAAAATTTTGCAAAATGCAGATAATCACTTCCACTTCCACTAAGATAGAGTAGACTACTTTCTTCTATCCTTCCAATATGTGTAACTAAAAATCCTGGACATTATGTAGAAGACAAACATAAGAATACTCTGAAAGGTGGAAAGAAGGAGGCAGACCAGCTAAAGATCTTGGGACCTAAGGAACACCACCATAGTGAGTTCCCTGGGTTTTCTTTTTGCCTTATCTATTACATACTTGGAGATAAGGAAACTGGCAAGCTAGAAACTTGAGTTGAAGCAGACAAAAATAGCCATGACAAAAGCCTGCTCTCTCTAGCCAAGTACTAAAAAAGGAGCAACCTGGCAAGATGTGAAGCTTTTAGACAATAACTACTCTACTCCAACCAAACACCACACAAGAGTACTGTAACCCCACTGCTACCAATGTCAGTAAAGGCCGAGTGGGAGCCTACACTTCCACCTTGGTAAGGCTGTAATGAAGCACCAACATGACAACGGAGGTGGTGTCAGAAGAGACCAAACAAGAAGCCGGAACTTTCATGTTTGCCAGCTTGTAATGAATCCCCCCATCCCACCATGGTGTCAGTGGAGGCTAAAGGGCGGTCTAGACTTCCACTCTTGCCTGTTAATAACAAGGAATCTCTTTCTTTCCTCTACTGAGTTGGAGAACAAAGAGGCCTAGTGGAGAGTCAGGCCTTTCACATTGCCCACTACTAACAAGGTCAACTCAGCCCTGTTAGTGGAGACCACACAGGGAGTTGCTGTATGAATGTATTCAGGTTTAAACAGAAAATCCCTTGTCAGGGAAGAGTCGGAAAGATATCAAATTGTATGAAAAAACAATAATCTATAGATGTCAACATTTATTTTTCAGCTCTGTTGTTTGGTGAATACTCATTTAGGATTGTTAAATCTTCTTGGAGGATTGACCTTTTTATCATTAGGTAACTATCCCTTTCTGTCTCTATTAATGTTCTTTGCTCTGAAGTCTATTTAGTATTGTATAATGTTAATAGAGGTTGGGAAGAGAGTACAGGTAGAGAATGTGGGTGTGGATGTGTTACAGAAGGGCAACATAGAGATCCTTCTGTTGATAGAAATGTATTTTTACTGTATAAGTGTCAATATCCTAGTTGCTATACTGTACTATAGCTTTGCAACATATTATAATTATGGAGAATTGAGTAAAGAGACACATAGGATCTTTCTCTCTCTCTCTCTTTTTTTTTTTTTTTTGAGTCTTGCTCTGTTGCCCAGGCTGGAGTGCAGTGGTGTGATCTCAGCTCACTACAACCTCTGCCTCCCAGGTTCAAGTAATTCTCCTGCCTTAGCCTCCCAAGTAGCTGGGACGACGGGCATGCACCACTATGCCTGGGTAATTTTTATTTTTATTTTTTATTTTTTTAGTACAGACAGGTTTCACCTTGTTGGTCAGGCCGGTTTCAAACTCCAGACCTCAAATGATCCACCCTTCTCGGACTCCCAAAGTGCTGGGATTACAGACGTGAGCCACTGTACTCGGCCTAATTATTTTTAGTAGAGACAGGGTCTTGCTGTGTTTCCCAGGCTGTTCTTGAACTCCTGGGCTCAAGCAATACTCCAGCCTCAGCCTCCCACTTAGCTGGGACTCCAGATATGTGCCACTATGAATAACTAGTTTTTAAATTGTTTGTGGCAACAGGATTCCACTATATTGCCCAGGCTGGTCTCAAACTCCTGGCCTCAAGTGATTCTCCTACCTTGGCCTCCCAAAGTGCTGGGATTACAGGCATGAACCACTGTGTCCAGCCTAACTTTAATTTTTTGATTCACCTTTCCAACTAAGGGTTTTACCCTATTGGTGTCCCAGTTTTATGCAGTGGTATCCTATATGACTTTAGTCTTATGGAGGCCTGAAGGTTTGCTTCTTGCAAACGTCCTGTGAGGCCACCAGATAAAAAATTCTGAAATTCCTCACTTGATTATCTTGTTCACTACTTTTTGTCTTCTGAATTTTTTTGATACCTTTCTACCTTAACTTTAAAATTTTCAGCTTGCAAATTTAGGAATTTCTTTTTCAGGAAAGTGAAAGTTTGTTTTTAATTATTTTATCTAGAGTTTTTGTGTTTTTTTTCCCTTAAAAGTATGTGTATATTTTTTTCTTTTTCTTTTCCTTTTTTCTTTCTTCTGTCATACTGCCAGAAATAAGAGTATTTCCACAGTACTATTAAGTAGTATATATTTAGTCTCATACAGTATGAGGGGGAGATTGAGAACCAAGAATCATGAATAGTACCTAGGTTCTATTCTTTACTAGCTATGTGATCCCCAATACTTTTCTCTTTTTCCTGTGTGTCATCTTTTCCTGGTAAAGAATGAAGGGCATGGGCTAAATGATATCTAAATCCTCATCGCTTAAAACTTGTACTGTTTCAATATTGTGGTATATTAGAACAACCACTGGCCTGGGAATCTGGAGTCCTGACTTGGTTCTTCTGCTTTCTAGCTTTCAGCTTTTAGACATGCCACTTTACTTTCTGAGTCATCATTTATTTGTCCACACACAAGAAAACAAAAGTGATAGTATCTACTTGACAAGATTGTTGTCAACATTAAATTAGACATTATTTATAAAACTTCTTGGCATGTAAGAGGTGACGATTAAGTCTTAGGAAGATCCACGTATACAGAATTCAAGGATCTCTCAGGTCCATTTACTGTTCCAAAAATCTATGATGTCAACTAAAGTTAGTGCTTAAAAAAGAAACGTTTTGCTGCAATTCTGACATGCACTCTCTAGAGGTCTCCATTACCAAACAAATCAATGTATGTTTTACTGTTGGTTATGGAAGTTCAGAAATGAAATCTATCAATCTCTTGTAAGATTCAACATTGTCCAAAGAGATTTTTTTTTTTGCGCTTTCTACATCGTATGATTTTTCTGGTCATATTTGCTCTCTTCTCTTTCAGGTTGCTGAAGAAGAATCTTACTCTAGGGCTCACTAGCAACTTTGGACTGGTGATGTATAAGACATTATATATTTCTGGGGTTTTTTTTTTGCTTTTTTTATTTACAAAAGGTGAATTTAGTTGTTTCTCTCTCATTCCCTTAGTTCAAAAATGATTAGCCCCAGATATTGCCCTATTCTTTTCCAAATTCTGGTTATACATCAAAATAAACAACCAAACAAAAACATAGGGTTAGGGGAGATTGGATGAAAGAAAGAAGAAGATGAAAGAAAGAAGAAAAAAACATTCAAAGGCAATGTTTTTCTTAACTGCTGTTCCCTTCAGTAAGATATATATTTCAGGCTGTGTCCACAGCACACACATATTTAACTAAAACAAACATTTGACAAAGCAATAGTTATCCTTACAGAGGGATATGACACTTTTATATTTCCTGTTCTAGTCTATCCTTTTTAATGGTGCTTTTGACACACTAATTAAGTCCATAAACCACGAAGGGATACCACCAATGGTTTGAAAATGATATCTTAAGGAGATGCAAAAATGTGAAAAGAGGGAGTTTCGTTTCATATGTAATACGTACTAACTGACCTAGACTTTGTGAAAGTGGTAAAAAAAATCACAGTGTGATTTCATTTCTATAAAGAATGCACATCCATATAGACTCCTTCAGGCTGGGTAGGAGGCAGTGCTGGGTTGTGCTTTCTTCTTTTTCTTTCTTTTTTTTTTTTTTTTTTTTTTTTTTGAGACGGAGTCTCACTGTGTCGCCCAAGCTGGAGTGCAGTGGTGCGATCTCGGCTCACTGCAACCTCCGCCTCCCGGGTTCACGCCATTCTCCTGCTTCAGCCTCCCCAGTAGCTGGGACTAAGGCACCCGCCACCACGCCCGGCTAATTTTTTGTATTTTTTAGTAGAGACGGGTTTCACCATGTTAGCCAGGATGGTCTCGAGCTCCTGACCTCATGATCTGCCCGCCTCGGCCTCCCAAAGTGCTGGGATTACAGGCGTGAGCCACTGCACCCGGACTGTGCTTTCTTTTTCAATCGAGGTTAGAGTTGGCCATGAGGGAACTTATATAAGATTTGGAAGGCAGAAGCAAAAGAGCAGCCATTACTCTCAGAAGGTCACTGTGGTTGGATATGGTGTTGGCCAATAGGTCAAACCTCCATGTCCATCTGCTCTTTCTTATGTCTTGCCCTGATATCCAATAGCAGCCACAGCTGATCAAAAGATGCTTGGCTACGGATCCACAGAGAGGTGGTTATGCAGAGGTAATAGCTTCCCATGCATAGCCTTCCACACGAGCTCCTGTTCTTGATCCCGCTTTGCTAGTTGAACATGCCTGCTGCTCAAATTTCCGTGCGAGCCTAGGGTTTGGCTTGCCTACACCACTGCTCCTAGGCACTCTGGCTAGGGACTTTGCTATCTGACTCCTCTTCCAGACTTTTGCTTCTCCAGTACTGCCCACATTTTTGTAAGATCTAATTCCTACTAAAAAAAAATTCCTCTTTCCATAATTCTTATCATGATTCTGCTTCTTTCACTGAATCCTGGATGATACAGATAAGTATCAATCAGTCAACAGTAGTTACCTCTGAAAACGGAAATAAAAGTGATTAAAAAAAAAACCATAAAGAAGGCTGCAGACTTTTCTTTGTAGATTTCTAAATTATTTGAAGTTTTACAATAAAAAATGTACTATTAAATCAAGTTTAGTCTAATGCTTCTCCTTACATATCTTAAGTTCAGCCTAAAGGTTTTTCTGTATATAGTAAACTATAACTTAAATGGAGACTGTAACCTACTCTTATGCCAATCACTGAGTTTTGGCCAATCAAAGGGGACCAATCGTTCAAACCGTGTTCAAATAAGGTAAACGCTAAGCTATAATCAATCCGACTGTTTCTGTATCTCACTTTTCCTTTACCTGTCTATAAATCTTCTTCCACCACATGGCTGCCCTGGAGTCTCTGAGCCTACTCTAGCTCCTGAGGCTGCCCGATTCTCAAATCGCTCTTTGGTTAATTGAACTCTGTCAAGTTTAATCTGGCTAAGGTTTTTCTTTGAGCAGTACTTATATATTACCTACATGATCAAAAGAAAAAATGAGAAAAAAGGAAAAGGATGTTTTAAAGATACTAAAGCACACCCAGAAACAGAAAAACAAAGTAGAACATAAAATTGCCATTTTCCAAATGTCCAAAAATGGATGTAAGTGACTTTTATATTCAGGTAAGTGACTGTAAAAGTAGTTGTGAAAAAAAAGATAACTGTTCTCAACTTTCCAAAAATTCAGTATCCTGGGGGAAAATGTGGGAGCAATGTGCCAGAGCCATGTTCTTCTGTCCTTAAAGTGCATAGAGATCACCTTGAGATTTGGTTCAAAAGTTGATTTTGATTCAATAGGTTTGGGGAGGGCCTCAAATTCTGCATTTCAAATCAATTTCCACTTGGTGTTGATAATATTGATTCACGAATCACACTTTGAGTAGCAAAATCCAAGGAAGCTGAAGAGACATAAAACCCAAATGCAATGCGTGAACTTAGATTGTTTATTGTTTCAAGAGGGAGAATAAAGCAATAAAAGTCATTTGGAGGACAATTATAATAGAAAAGTTAGAATGTGGACTGGACATTATAAAATATCATAACATTAATTTTGGGGGATAATATTACTATGATTCTATACAAGAATGTTCTTTTTAAGAAATATATTCTCCCAACTGGGCACAGTGGCTCAGGCCTATAATCCCAGCACTTTGGGAGGCCGAGGCAGCTGGATCATGAGGTCAGGAGTTCAAGACCAGCCTGGCCTAGATGGTGAAATCCTGTCTCTACTAAAAATACAAAAATTAGCCGGGGGCAGTGACAGGAGCCTGTAATCCCAGCTACTCAGGAGTCTGAGGCAGGAGAATCTTTTGAACCCAGGGGGCGGAGGTTGCAATGAGCAGAGATCATACCACTGCACTCCAGCCTGGGCAACAGAGTGAGACTCCATCTCAAAAAAACAAAGCAAGAAAAAAAAAAAGAGAAATACATTCTGATGTATGCAACTTTCTATAACTGTAAAGATAAATTCCTCTTGCTGTCAGTTAGTTTAAAAATGCATAATTAATTTAGTAATTATTTTTTCCTAAATACAAAGAAGTGAAGAAACAGAGGCAGAGAATGATAAGTAAATGGCTCCAAATAACCAGTAGTTGGAGGTGTAGTGTAAGGTGCTACTTTGGAAATGACGATTTTGAATTCTTCATGATCCAAGTGTTCCTAGAACACTGCAACAGCTGAGAACTGCCCCCATCCTCCAAGTTCCAGAAAAAGGCTTACTGCAAAGAATTACCCTTCCCCAAACTTAGATAAGACTCCCTTGCTTACCTATGACAAGACACAAGTTCTCCATATTCCCATTTTTAATCTTATAAAAGATATAATAGCTGAACTGTTTTCCCCACTGACCAACTTTCTGCATCATATGATTTTCTGATTTGATCAACTGAGCAAAGTGCTGCTAACTTACTTTGACCAAGGAAAGTTTAGTCAGGCTTCTCTCCTTCCTGCAGACCTCTAAACTTTGTCCCCTGGGAGGTTAAGCAAGCATTGGAATTTGGAACAATTCCATATAACAACCCCTCTGGACCTCAGAGAATTGATACTTCCAGCTCACCTCTCTGATCACGACACCTGCTTGTCCTATTCCCCTTCTCCCAGTTCTTTGTAGCCTTGTTTACTCTTCCTTATAAAACAAAAGCCCTTTCTGCCTGACCATCGAGAGGCATATGGACCTTACAGTTAAGCATTTTCTCCATTGATTTCAATAGTTCTCCTCTTCCTATTGCAATAGTCTTTTTGAATAAAGTCACTGCTGACTTAGGTCCAGATGTGTTTTTTCATTTGACAGAAGTCTAAAGTGGGAGAGAGACGTCGCTCTGAATAAGTAAGAAGTCAGAGAAGGGGCGCAGGCAGGGAGTTGACAAGGCAGGGAGAGCCTTGGAGCAAGGACACAGGAGTCTCAGGAGCTGAATGCGACAACGGAGAAGGTCCCTGGAAGGGATTCTGATGACTGCTCAGGTGACCCTTCTGCATGACTCTGAAGTGTAACCTCAAAAATCATGTCGTGCATGGGGTAACTGGATTTCATCTGGAAAGTGGTGAAGGGGCTGATTGGTACCAAGCTGAGTATCTGGCTGAAACAGAAGCAGTGGGCAGACAGTGGCCATTAACAATACTGATAGCTAGTAGTTATCGAACTTGGGGAGTGTGCTAGGAGCTGGATGATGAACTTCAGATACTTCATTTCAAATCCATACAACTCTAAAAAATGGGCTTCATGATCCATATTTCACACCTGAAAGAATAATATTCCAGAGGCTATTAAATGCCTTCACTGAAAAATACAACTAGTAAGTGGGAAGCACTTTTCCTGGATGCCCTAAATTAAACATACCTTTGCTTGCAGTAGTTCCATCAGTGTTTATGGAACTTCTTTGTCTAACAACTCTAATGGGAAATCCATGATCACCCACCTCCAGCTATGTTCCAGCTATAGTGCTCTTCTGCTCAGCAAATAAACTAACAAATTCTCAGTTTGTCCTGCAGGTGCCACCCTTGCCATGAGATAGGTCCCCTGAGTGCTCAGGCATTCATGACTCAGGACTGCAATTGATCAGAAATTCTCAAAGAAGAAAGAAGCCTAATCATCTAATGTATGAAACCTACGTTTCAGGATCATGACCCTCACATATGGATTTACAGTTTCCTAGATCCAATAATTAATTAGAATTATTCCTTTTTTATATTTTGTTTTTAAAGTATTTGATCTATTTTTGAGTAGATAATACATTTATATGGTTCTTAATTCAAAACATATAAAAATATACAGTGGAAAAAACTCTCTTCTACCACTGTCACCCATTTGCCTAGTTTTTATGACCCAAATAGAAAAACGACTATTATTAGTTTCTTGTGTATCTTCCCTGAGTAATTTTATGCATATACAACCAAATATAAATATATATTGCTTTGCCATATTGTTCTACACGAATATTATACAAGCTGTTTTGCAACTTCTCAACATTAATATATCTTATAAATCTTTATTTTTAAACAACTGCATGGTATTTTATTATATGGCCAAATTATAATTCGTTTAATCAGTACTCTATATTTTAGGTTGATTTTAATCTCTGGTCTGGCACCGTTCCCAACACTTTACTTGTATTAGCCCATTTAAGCTAAACCACAATTCTATAAAGTACCATCAAGCACTGCATAACAACATTCTGTCAATGGCAGACCGCATATAGGATGGTAGTCCCATATGATTATAATACTGTATTTTTACTGTACCTCTTCTATGTTTAGATACACAAATACTTACCATCGTATTACAATTGCCTACAGTATTCACTACAGTAACATGGTTTACAGGTTTGTAGCCGAGGAGCAATAGGCTCTACCATACAGCTTAAGTGTGTAATAGGCTATACCTATTAGTAGGTACCACTCTGTGATGTTTGCACAACAACTAAGTCACCTAGCAATGCATTTCTCTTCAGAATGTATCCTCATGATTAAACAATGCCTGACTGTATGCATTTTTATTATCATCATTTGATAGATGAAGAGAAAAAGGCAAGGAAAAGTCAGACAATTGGCCCAAGATCACCCAGCCAGTAAGTGGTGGATCCAGAATAGCAAATGAGAGAAGACAGGGAGTTAGCAATACTTGAGGGTTGGTGCCCTGTGATTCTTCAGATGAGGGTGGGGTTCAGGATGGGAAGCCATGGACTGCCTCCCACCACCACACAGGAGAGGATGATCTATCTTCCAAAGATACTGTCCCTCTAGCCTGGGGATTTCCAGATTTCAGGACCCAGTCCATGGGTCTGGATGTAGATGTGTGAGGTTGTGTCAAAGAAGAGAGGAAAATAACCTCTCAGAATGGAACACGCTGAGATTCAAAGTAAAACAAGAAATTAAATGCCTCAGAGTACCTAGGGAATCTGCCCAACCTCACAACTCATCTATTGAGAGAAGTGGATGTGGTGGAAGAAAGCATCCCAGGCTACAAGCAGCCACTCTTTTTAAGGAGACCAGCTTTTTATCATTATCTTTATTTTGTACTTCACACCAAGGCCAAAAGATGGCACCTCTTGCCTCAGGTTTCTCTTCTGCCATGTTCCATCATCAGCCTTGTTGCTCTGGTATCTCTCTGCTAACTCTCTCAGACAAATCTTGCCTTCTTGACCCCACTGACCTTCATTATGCCACCTCAGTTGGACTGCTGCTAGCACATATGGTGCCTTTGTGCAAATTAGAGTCACAGCTGGATGTGCCGTAGGTCTGGGATCCAGAAAAATGAAGCTGTTCCTTTCTCTGCTCCTTGGTCTTTCTTTTTATGGGATGAGCATGAAAACAACCTTGCATTTTGGCCAGCTCCTTTATGTGCAGCCTGGCAGCACTTTGCCTCAGGCCTGCCCCTCACACTGGATTATTTCCTGCCCAAGGCTTTTTTTAATTGGTCTATTATCATAGTAAACTGGATGGGAAACTGCTGAGCACTCATGTATGTATAACTCAAAAACGTAGGTCAGTGTGATGGTTAATTATATGTGTTAACTTGCCCAGGCCACTGTATCCAGATATCTGGTCACACAACGTAAAATTCTGTTTCTGTGAAGATACTGTTTAAGATAAGGTTAGCGTTTAAATCTGTAGACTTTGAGTAAAGGAGATTGCCTTCCATAATGAGGGAGGGTATCATCCAATCAGTTGAAGACCTTAATAGAAAAAAACTAACCTCCCCCATAAAAGAGGGAATTCTGCCAGCAGATAAACTTTGGACTCAAACTGAAGCATTAAGTCTTCCCTGGGATTTTGGACTTTCCAGCTTCCCAATTGCCTGAGTCAATTCCTCAAAATAAATCTCTCTCTCTCTCCGTCTACCTAGAGAGATGTGTGTGTGAGTGTGTGTGTGTGTGTGTGTGTGTGCATGTGGTGTGTTCTCTGAAGAACCCTGAATAATCAAGGCAGTTATTGCCCTGTGCAATAACCTTCACTAATGTGAGGTGAGAGTCAATGAGTAAATTTTCACTCCTTTCTTTCCCTGGATGTACAGTCCTGAGTTACTTTTAGGCATCAAGCTGTATTCATTTTCTGTTGCTGCTGTAACAAATTGCCACAAACTTAGTGACTTAGAATAATGCAAATTTTTTATCTCCAGTACTTTAGGTCACAAGTCTAGGTTGGCTTGATGGGTTTCTCTGCTCTGGGTTTCAGAAGACTAAAGTCAAGGTATCTGCTGGCTTAGATTCTTTGCTGAATGCTCTGAGGAGAATCCAATTCCAAGCTTATTTGTGTTGCTGGAAGAATCCATGCCATGTCTCCAAGACTGCTCTTGTCTCCAGTTAGGGAAGTTCTCTGCCTCTAAGAGCATATGTGATTAGATTGGGCTGGCTCATCTATTAATTTCAGATAATCTCCCTATTTTAAGATCAGCTTTTTAGTCACCTTAATTACATCTGCAAAGCCCTTTCATAGTAGTGCCTATATTTGAGTTTGGTTAAATAACCAGGTGATGAGTATCTTCGGGGAGATCTTTAGAATTCTGACTATCACATAACCAGTCATCCATGGTGGTAGCCAACTTGACAACCCGTCTTTGTATTAGCTTTCTATGCTTTCCTGCTTTGCTTTCACTATCTCTTACCTTTACTTCCTAGATCATAGCTGCCAATAAAGTGTTGGAGTTTGAGCTTTGTCTCAGGCTCTGCATATTGGGGAACCTGTCTATAGTACTTGTAGTGGACCTTTAGAGTAGGCTTCAGGATGGGATTCTGAAACTGGTTTGCTCACAAGTCAGATGGCCATAAGGGACCCATTCCTGAAGTCATGCAGCAGCATGGCATAACCTCTGGCATTTCAATTACCGAAGTTCTCACCTGTGGTTTGATGCAGTGAGATACAGGTGGCAAATAAGATTGTAGGTTACACTCTGCTTATGGCACTTGAATGATACTGGAATAATGATAATCCTATAAATTGTGGACAGGGCTCTTCTTTCATCTTAAAAATTGAACATTTTTTTCTTTTGAGATAATTGTAGATCCATAGACAGGCATAAAGAAATACAGAGAGATACTGTGTACCTTTTATCCCCCAATGATAATACCTAATAAAACTATAGTACAATATCGCAACCAAAACATTGACATTCATACAGTCAAGTTACGGAAGATTTCCATCATCACAAGGATCCCTCATGTTGCTTTCTTATAGTCACATTAATTTCTCCGGAACTCCCAGATGCTTTATCCCCTGACACCCACTAATCTGTTTTCCATTTCTATAATTTTGTTCTTTTAAGAACACTACATAAATTGAATCACATGGAATGTAAAATTGGAGATTTTTTCTGACTCAGTGTAATTATCTAGAGATTCAGCTGAGATGTTGTGTGTACCAATAATTTGTTTCATTTTACTGCTGAATAGTATTTCATGGTATGAATGTGCTGCAGTTTGCTCAGCCATTTACCCACTGAATGACATTTGAGTTGTTTCCATTTTTTTGTTATTGAGTTTTAATTTAATATCATTGTGGTCAGAAAACATATGCCCTAAGAATTCAATATTTATTTTTAAGTTAGATTAGATTATGATAAATTTCATAATTTCAGTGATCCCATGGGATTAAGCAATCAGTCACACATATGGACAGCCAACTTCATAACACATCATTGTTCTGGCCTTCCCTGCTTCACTACCATTGTTTCTCATGCTTGCTCCATGGATCACACTCTTTAATAAGATATTGGCACATGAGCTTTTTTCTCAGGCTCTGCTATTTGAGAAACCTAGGTCAAGACAGGTGTAATTGCGTGTTAGCCTCTTATGGTTGCTCGCCATAATCTCAGAACATGCTTTGTGTACTAGTGCCCCTTGTCAGGAAGGTGAGATAGAAGCTGGGAAGCTGGGGAGGAGGTTCCAACATTAGTTTAATGTGTTCTTGGTGATTCCTCAGGGCCTGAAGCACATAGTGAATTACAAAAGGTAAATCAATAATCTAGGAGAAAAAGTTTATTACTTTGCAGAAGGGGCAAAACAATAGGGAATACATTTTAGAAAATCATTTTGAATATATATCCAAAGGAATTGAAATCAGTGTGTGAAAGAGATGCCTGCACTTTCATGATCATTGCAACTTTATTCACAATAGCTAAGATATGAAATCAATCTAAGTGTCTATCAATGGTAAACTGATTTTTAAAATGTGGTGTATATACACAATGGAATACTATTCACTATTTCATTAAAAAAGGAAATTCTGTCATTTGTAACAGCATAGATGAATGTAGAGGACATTATGCTAAGTGAAAAAAGTCAGGCATAGAAAGACAAATACTATACGAACTCATTTATATGTGAAACCTATAGAAGTTGGTCTCATAGAGATAGAGAGTAGGATGATGGTTCCCAGGGGATAAGTGTGGAAGGAGAGTAGATAGGGAAAGGAGAGATGTTAGTCAAAGGATACAAAGTTTTCAGTTAGACAGGATGAATCAATTCCAGTGATCTATTACACAGTATGGTGAAATATAGTTAATGGTAATATATTGTATATTTCAAAATTGTTAAAATAAAAAAAATTGTGAATGTTCTCACCACAAAGAAATAACAAATATGTGACTTGGTGGATTTGTTAATTAGTCTGATTTAATCACTCCACTAAGTGTACATGTAGCATAACATCAAAGTTTGCCCAATGTACTATGTTCACTGCTTCAGTGATAGGATAATTTGTACCCCAGAAATCTCAGTGTCACACAATATACTCACATGAAAAACCTGCAATATACCCTCTGAATCTAAAATAAAAGTTGACATAAAAATATTTACCCAATAAATATAAACAATTATTATTTGTCAACTAAAAAGAAATGAAAAGAAAAAAGGGTCAGGCGTGGTGGTTCATGCCTGACACTTTGTGGAGGCCACAGCAGGAGGTTCGCTTGAGCCCAGGAGTTCAAGACTAGCCTGGGCAACATAGGAAGGCCCCATCTCTACAAAAAATAAAAATAAAATAAAATAAATCAGCCAGGAATGGTGGTGTGTGCCTGTAGTCCTAGCTACCTGGGAGGTTGAGGTGGGAGGATTGCTTGAGCCTGGAAGGTCGAAGCTACAGTGAGCCAGGATTTTGCCACTGCACTCCCGCCTGGGCAACATAGTGAGACTCGGGCTCAAAAAAGTAAAAAGATTGGAAAAAAATCATCCTGAGATAAATTATTTTGGAGACCATATTTAAAAATTATTAATTAAGGCCAGAAAAATCATGTCTTAGAGCCCTTAGGTATAGTTGATCATCACGGTATGCATGAACTCTGGAAAAATTAGGATTTGTTTTTAATCTATCATGAACTGAACAAAAGTTTAACCAGTAAATTGTACTTTTAATTTAGAATATTGAAAACACAAATTTAGATTGTCAGATTAGAATCAGTGGTGTTATATGTGTTTGTTGTCAGCCACTCATGAATACAGATAATAATGAGAAGAAAGATATCATGCCTGGTAGGATTTTTCCAGTCTCAGACAGTGACTCAGGGTATTTCCAAGGTCCCTCAGCAGAAGAAAGAAATGAAGTGTTTGGAAGTACTGATATCCTCAGAAGGATGTTGGAGAGTAGAGTATATAGACTACTGAAGAAGGCAGGGTTGGAACTGACCTTGTAAGGGTTGGCACTGCTGCAACTTTGTGACATATGAGGAACACATTGTGTCTTAACTGGGGATGAGCCCACAGCCTGGAAATATTTCTGAGGTTAGAGTGTTGAAGTCCTATGGATCCTTTAAGAGAGAGAGAGGTGGGAAGAAACCTGTGAGCAACCATACTGAGAACTCGTGTTGGATATTGGATTTTCTCAGCCCTCATAATATTTCACATAAATTTCAACTTGGAAGGCTTGAAGTGGTATCATAACAGGAGTACCCCCAAGTAAAGGAGACCATAGCATCAGTTAGGTTGATTCAGTCTGACAATGAGATCATAAATTAAAATTCTTAGCTGTCAAGAAGGATATGTGGGTTAAATTTTCAGATTTATATGAAATGCAGTACTCTTTTATACTAGGTTTGTGCAAAAGTGATTGCAGTTTTTGCCATTAAAAGTTAATGCCAGTAACTTTGCCGTTAAAAGTTTGCCATTAAAATTAATGGCAAAAATCGCAATTACTTTTGCACCGACCTAATAGTATAGACAAACATAAAATGCTCACTAGTGTCCTTACCACTGCTAAATTGAGCATAAATAGGCAGCAATGGATAGCAGCTCTAGAAACTATCATCTTTGCATTTATGATTGGTCAGGCCTGAGAAACAGAAATGTAAATGTTTCATTGCATTACCAGTCTCAAGTCTCTTGTCATTTGGGATGAAAAAGACTTACATCCTGAAGGCTGTACTACCTATCGGCAGCCATGAGTTATGTAACCTAAAACTTTCACAGTCATTCCACATGAGACTGGAAGTCTGGCAAAGAGCCCAGTGGAAAGATTCAAGGTGACAGAAAATAGTGGAGGCTTCAAGTAAGGAAAAAATGAGTCTTTTCTAAAGGCCAGAACCTTGCTCCAGAAATGGCAGAAACTAACACTAACTAATGAGGGTTTCCAGAAGGTTCTGTTATACCTCATAAACGGGTTGTGGAAAGAGCTAATACTTTCTCAGCTACATCACCTCTGGGTACTAAGGATATGTATGACGATTGTACCATTGAACTCTGGCTAAACTAACCAGAAAATGAATGTATTACAATGCTATTATGCAGCTCACAGGTTTGACAGGAAAGTTAAAGACCTTAGCTCAGATAATGGGCAGACTCCAGGGAGTATGGGAAGCAGACAGCATATCCACTGTTGTGCCACAGGAATATCTGTTAGAATCCCACTCCAGTGCCTGGTGCCATATTGACTCCGCCACCATGAACTATCTCTAACTTTCTCTGTGTTTTCAGGTTTCTTCTTCCACATTCAAAATCCCAGTTAAGGAGGAGAACATCTGGTGTCCTTTAAATTTTCATAGTGGGATTAAATTTCTGCTTCTCACAAACACTCATGTGCTGTGGCGTTTTGTTTTTATTTATTTATTATTTAAATTTTTAAATTTTTTTAGAGATGAGGGTCTCATTCTGTTGCCTAGGCTGGAGTGCAGTGGTGCAAACACAGCTCACTGCAGCCTTAAACTCCAGGGCTCAAGTGATCCCCTCACCTCAGCCTCCTGAGTAGCTGGCACCATAGGTACGTGCCACCATGCCGAGCTAATTATTTTCTATTTTTTGAGTTTCTCTTTGTTGCCTAGGCTGGTCTCAAACTCCAGGTTTAAGCAATCCTTCCACTTCAGCCTTCCAAAGTGCTGGGATTACAGGCATGAGCCACTGTGCCCGGTCTTGTTTGGTTTTAACAATATAAATGGGATCTGTTTGCTGGGCAACCAAAGATGACTGTCAAATGTCAATCCTGTCCGTGCCACTGGCTGCCCAATATCTGACATGCATTCTTCCTCCTCTAATTGCATGTCACTGAAAAAACTTATAAAATATTGAAGCTATTTATTATTTGTTTTTTAAAAACAGAATTTGTTTAGATATCTGTCAGAGTTTGGAGTTTTCTTTGTGGGGAAGGTTTTATATTAGTGATTTAGTTTCTTTAATATTTAGTTTGCATTATAGAAATTGTAAATATTTAACCATGTAGGTCTGTTTAGATATCTATTTCTCCTGTCCATTTTGTTAAGTCGTATTTAATAAAAGTATGGTCATATCTTCTATATGTTCATATGTATTGGCATAAAATTGTTTCTAATATGTTGATATAGTCTTATTTACTGTTATATTGCCTTGAAAATCTCCAGTGACGCCACCTTTTCCAGCTCTGATACTCTTATATTTGTGCCTTCTCCCTTTTATTGATTAGTCTTATTAGATGTTATCAATTTTCAACAAACCACCTTTTTTGTTGATTTTAGTTGTCAGAGACTCATTGTCTACTTCACTAATTTCTGCCCTTATTTTTCTTATTTCCTTTCTTGCGCATTGAGGTTGATTTTGCAGGTTTTTGTCATAACTTTTTGAGACTTCTGGTTTAGCTATACCAAGTAAAGAGCGTGGAGGTTGTCACTCCCATTCTTTTTTTTTTTTTTTTTTTTTGAGACGGAGTCTCGCTCTGTCGCCCAGGTCGGACTGCGGACTGCAGTGGCGCAATCTCGGCTCACTGCAAGCTCCGCTTCCCGGGTTCACGCCATTCTCCTGCCTCAGCCTCCCGAGTAGCTGGGACTACAGGCGCCCGCCACCGCGCCCGGCTAATTTTTTGTATTTTTAGTAGAGACGGGGTTTCACCTTGTTAGCCAGGATGGTCTCGATCTCCTGACCTCATGATCCACCCGCCTCGGCCTCCCAAAGTGCTGGGATTACAGGCGTGAGCCACCGCGCCCGGCCCCCCATTCTTAACTCAAGAAAAAAATCGGACACACTGGAAATCATTCACTTTTCCTGGACCCATCTAGAGTGAAGACCATGGGTGGCAAACTGCCACCCCAACATCTGGAGAGACAAGTGTATCTGGGGAGTCACAGCTGAGATCTGCTTAGGTGAAGCAGAGGCCGTTAAAGTCAGAAACACTTAAATGATAATTTTGACTCATTGCTAGAGGCTGAGTGTGGACTAGTGTAATAGTGAAAATCTCTTGGGGGCCAAAGTCTTAGGGGGTGTCCTACACTGTCATTGGTTTTACCTCCAGAACTTCATCAGGTTCTCATAGCAAAGATCCAGGAAAGATTCTCTTCGTTGTGAATTATCCTCACATGCTTCTCCATCACAAGATAGTTCTCTGCAGGGGAGGGAATTTGCCAGAGCCTCATCCCATCTAAGAAAAGGGCATTCTTCCTTCAGCCTTCTTGCCTTACCTAAGGGGGCTGGGCTTCAGGGAAATAAACTAGAACATCATAGCCAGAGAAGGAAGTAAGGAGCAGAGGGAAAAAAGAAGCCTTACCACTAGAGAAGTACTTGTGAAAGTCATAGCTTTGAGACATACATCCACTAAAAGACTGAGATTTAATCATAAGATTATAGAAGGCTTCCCCTCCCTACACGTTACCACCCTACCAACAGGGCTGAGGTAGAATAACAGCAGACGGCAATTGTTAGGAGCTACAAGACACAGACTTTCTGAGGAAGAGTACTTTGGGAAGCCCAAAGTGCAAAGGGAATACAAAAACAAGGAAACTAAAGGAACTCAAAGGCTCTGGCACCTATAGTTACAGCAAGCATTAAACATAGCTCAGCTCCTAGCCAGATGAACACAAATCCCAAATCCACACACTGAAGGTCAGTTTACTCCAGATCCTATAACCCAATACAACATGTCTAGCTTTCCAAAGAAAATTATAAGGCATGACAAAAGGCAAGAAAAAATCACAGTGGCAGTGACAGGCATTCATTAGAACCAGACTCAGCTATGACACAGATGTTAGAATTATCAGACTTGGGGTGGGGTGGGAACAAGGAATTAGTCAAAGGACACAAAATTTTAGTTAGATAGGAGGAATAAATTCAAGAGCTTTATTGTACAACATAGTGACTATAGTTAATAATATATTGCATTCTTGAAAAATGCTGAGAGTGGATGTAAAGTGTTCTCACCACAAAAATAATAACTATGTAACATAATGCATATATGTTAATTAGCTAGATTTAGTCATTTCACAATGTATATATAATTTAAAACATCATGTTGTATGTGGTAGATACATTCAACTTTGTCTGTCAATTTTAAAGCTTTTTTTAAAAGGAATTATCAGGGAATTGAAAATTACAATTAATTTATGTTCAAGAACTTAATATATTCAGGACACTAATTTAAAAAAGTAGACAATATGTAAGAGGCTTAGTTATCACCCATTATACTTACTTCATTAAGAAGGTAAAAGTTTACTTACTTTTCTATGTTTAGTAGTAGTTTAGGTGGTATTGGGACTATCTAATCTTTAACATTTTGTGAAATTTTCTAGAGGAATCATCTGGGGTGGATGCTTTCTTTGTGAGGGCACTTTGAAAATGTCTCTGTTTCTTCTAAGGCATATGGGCTGTTTATATTTTTATTGCTACAAAGGTCACATAAAAATTATATTTTCCTAAAAAGTTATCCACATATATCTGGAAATATATATAGAAAGAGAGTTTTAATTTTCCTTTTGGCAACTTTAAAAGATATAGAAAAGTACAAAGAATAATATGACAAACACATATGTTCTCACCACCATAATTAGCAACTGCTAACAATTTTATATTTTCATTTTACACTTTAAAAATGTACACAGAGCATTGCACAGACCATAAGGGCAGAACTCAATAAATCATCTCAGCGTAAACACTCTTGTATAACCACCACCCAGATCAATAATTACAACATTATAAGTTTTGGATTCAGTGGATTTGGAAGAGGAGGGAGCAGACAGAGAGCACCAAATGGGAGGGAATCGAATCTGGAAGGTCCCAAGTCTAGTGACATGGTGACATTGAAAAAAATTCTGTAAAGAAAGTTTCCCTCTCCACCACAAAAATGGCACCTCAGCTGTACTGGAATGGAGAGTGCTAGACTCTGAGGAGAACCCAGCAGCTCTCCTTGCCCCTGCCTAAAGGCTGACCAGACTGCATCAGTGAGGAAGTTACTTGTGATTTCATCTTATATACACAGGAGAGAAAGTGACAAAGGAAAAATTCTGATGGCAACTATATGATAGAAGCTATATAAAGGCAAGTGTCTGTATATTCTTTCAACTATATTTGAGCATACCCAGATGGTGGGTTAGACACTTTTAGTGTGCCTCAGACATGTGGAAATAGCAAGATAGTGCATAAAGCTCAACATTTGAGCTTTTTATTTTTTGTGGGTACATAGTAGGTGTATATATATTGGGGGTACATGAGATATTTTGATACCGGCATAAAATGCAGAATAATCACATCAGGGTCAATGGGGTATCCATCACCTCAAGCACTTATACTTTTTTGTGCTATAAAGAATCCAGTTATACTCTTTTAGTTATTTTTAAATGTACGATAAATTACTGTTGACTGCAGTCACCCTGTTGTGCTATCAAATACTAGATCTTATTCATTCCAACGATATTCTTTTGCCTATTAACCATCCCCACTTACCCCAACCCCACCTTTCTCAGCCTCTAGTAACCATCATTCTACTCTCTATCTCCATCAATTCAATTGTTTGAATTTTGAGCTTCCACAAATAAATGAGGGCATGTGAAGTTTGCCTTTCTTTGCTTGGCTTATTTAACATAACATAATGTCTTCCATCCATGTTGCAAATAACAAAATCTCATTCCCTTTAATAGCTAAACAGTACTCCATTGTGTATATGTACCACATTTTCTTTTTCCATTACTCTGTTTGGCTTTTTGTTTGTTTTTCAGACAGGATCTCACTCTGTCCCCTAGGCATGTTCATGGCTCACAGGAGCTTCAAACTTCCAGGCTCAAGCAATCCTCCTACATCAGCCTGCTGAGAAGCTAAAACCACAGACTCATGCCACCATGCCTGGCTAATTTTTTTAATTTTTAATTTTATTTTTAGAGATGGGGTCTCACTATGTTGCCCAGGCTAACTCCAAATACCTGGGCTCAAGCAATCTGCTCCCCTTGGCTTCCCAAAGTGCTGGGATTACAGAAGTGAGCCACTGTGCCTGGCCCATTTGTCTGTTGATGGACACTTAGGTTGTCTCCAAATCTTGGCTATTGTGAATAGTGCTGGAATTAACATGGGAGTGCAGATATTTTTTAGATAGACAGATTTCCTTTCTTTTGGGTATATACCTAGGAGTGGGATTGCTGGATTGTATGGCAGCTCTGGGTCTCACCCAAAGCCTACTGTCATCACTGCCTGGCTACCACTTATGTTCACTCAAGGCCCAAGGGCTCTGCAGTCATCAGTGGCAAATCCAACCAAGCTTGTGTTCTTCCCCCTTCAGTGCAGTGAGTTGCTCTAGCCCCACTCAGGTTCAGAGATGCTGGTCTGGGAGCCAGGGCCTGGAGGGGGAAACCTTAAGAATCTAACTGGTGCTCTATTCTACTGTGGCTGAGCTAGCACCCAAGCTGCAAGACAAAGTATTTTTCCCTCTTTCCTCCCTTTTCCTCAAGCAGAGGAGTCTCTCCCCATGGCTACCACCACCCCAGGCTCACAGCAAGTACTGCCTGGCTACTGCTGATGTTCATTCAAGCCCCAAGGGCTCTTCAGTCTGCTTGTGGTGAATGCTGCCAGACCTAGGTCTCTCCCTTCAGGGCAGTGGGCTCTGCTCTGGCCTAGGGCAAGTCCAGAAATGCCATCCAGGAGCCTAGGCCTAGAATTGAGAACCCCAGGAGCCAGAGGATTTGGGGTGCCCTACTCCACTGTGGCTGAATTTGTACCCCAGCTACAAGCAAAGTCCTCTTTACTTTCCCCTCTCCTCTATTCAAGCAGAGGGAAGGAGTCTCTCCCAGAGTTGTGAGCTAAGCTGCCCAGGGTTGGGAAAGGGGTGACAACAGTACTCCCTTGGCCACTCCAGCTGATATCTCACTAGGTTGTGTGCACCCAAATCCTCTGGCTTTGAGCCCAGCCCAACACAGCACCAACCAGGACTTAGCCAGGAATTGGAGTCCTCGTTGCCTAGACTGCCTTTGAAGTTTATTTAGGACCTCAGAGCACTTTAGCCCATGGTGGAAGGGCTTGCTGGAACTCGGGTTCTGACCACTAAAACAGGTGACTTGCCTCTGGGGTAAGGCAGATCTGAATGCTCCCTCGTGGGTGCTGGCTGAATTCTGCCCCATGTTGCTTTCCTCCGTGACAGAGAAATTTGAGTTGCAATGCAAAGTCCCACAGTCACTGGGTTCTCCTTCCCCCAAGGGCACAAATTTTCTCTCCATACTATATAGCTGCTACCAGGTGATTAGGGAGGGGTGGATAGGCATTTCAAGAGTGTCTTTCCTACCCTCTCAGTGCATCTTTCCTTAATATGATGTTAAAACCAGGCACTGTGATTGCTCACCTGGTGTTTTGATTCTTATGAAGGTGCTTTTTTGTGTGCATAGCTGTTCAATTTGGTGTTCTTGTGGGAGGGATGATTGCTGGATGATTTGGTCATCTTGCTCCATCTACTCATTCCAAATCTCTCTGTGAGCTTTAATTCAAGAAGGAATATGGGAATCCACCAGAATCATTAAGGACATCCCAGATCCCAGGGAGGAGTATGTGGGCAGTTAGCCCTGTGGTGGCATCTAGGTGATAAAAGTGAGTGAAGCCTCAGTATGTGAGAGAGGCAGAGAGCCTCCCTCTGTGACTCACCATTCTATTGGAGATCCAAGCAACCCAGGCCTAGGGATAGCACTTTGCTTCTCCCAAGCCCTTGAGGTAATTTGGGGAGAGTCTTGGAGATGCTGTGAGGGAAAGACACCGGGAAAAGCTGCAGGCATTTTCCCAGAACTGGGACCAAGAACATCATGCCAGTTTTAATCTGGGTGCATATAAAGTCAGTCATTCTTTGATGACCCAGAAGTGTGGCTCTGCAGGCATTTTATTCTCAAGCCAAAGACTAGAGGGCTTGCTCTTGAGGAGAGTAGGGACCTCCAAAGCCATAATTGTGGAAAGCACCTTAGCAGTATGGCTGGAATTGCACACTCTCCCTAATTGCAAGCCTGGGACAGGAGGAGAGCTGCTACAGCTGTGGTTTCTTCTGGCTGAGGAGACTTGCAGCCGGGGCCAGCTTGACAACCTGGCACTGTTCTGCATGTGTCATTGCTGGGTGCCCCAGCCTGCTCCCCTGAAATTGTGGTGCAGGGGGGCCTCTCTGATCCACTCCTAGGCAGAACTCCAGGAATTTAGAGTACATACTTTCCTGGACCAGAAGCCTCAGTCACCCCACCCTTTCTGTGAAGAGATCGGGGTAAAGCAGGCCCTCTCCACTCTATGCCTAGGCAGAACTCATGACATTCAGAGCACCTGCTCACCCAGCACCAGTCACCCCACCCTTCCTGTGCAGACATTGGCATGTAGGGGGCACCTCTCAGCTGCACACCCAGGCAGATCTCCAGGCAGTAGGAGCACCTGCTCTCCTGGTTCAGCAGCCTGAGTCACCCACCCTTCCTGCACAACGAATATGGTGCAGCAGGGCCCTCTCCAGTCCACATGCTGGTAGATCTCCAGTCATTTGGAGCACCTGCTTGCCCAGATTGGCATCCTGACTCACTCCAGCCTTCTTGTGCAGTGATCAGCATGCAAGGAGCCCTTCTCAATTGCACACTCAGGCAGATCTCTGTATAGTAGGAGCACCCACTTGCCTGGTCCAGCAGCCTAAGTCACCCCTACTTCCTGCACAAAGATCATGGTGCAGTAGGGCCCTCTCTGCGCCACATCCAGGCAGATCTCCAGGCAGTCAGAGCACTGAATAACCTTGATTAGCAGCCTGGGCTGCACCACCCTTCCTGTGTAGAGATTGTGGTGCAGTGGGTCCCTCGACAATCCGTGCCCAGGCTGATCTTTAGGATTCTGGAGCACCCACTTTCCTAGATTAGGAGTTTAGGTTGTACCTCCTTCCTGTGTGGTGAACTTGGGGCCAAGGAGCTTTCCCAGCTCCATGCCAAGGCACACTTCTGGGTGCTTGGTGGCTATGCACTGAATTCTCCCTCAGAACTGGTGTTTGTGCCTGCCATCAAGGGACTTGTAGGTGGGCCTGCCCAGTCTGTCCTCAGCCATCTTTTCCCCTACCTTCCTGGGGCTGAGCAGGGAGCTCACACTACTGTGTACTCCACAGTTCAGTCCATTGCCTGAGGCAACAGAGAGCCTCTCCTGGTAAACCAAGATCAAGTATATACCCAGCCACATTGACTGCAGCCAGCTGTTACCTGTAAGAATCATCTACTGGCTTGTAGGTCAAACTGCACAGCTCAATATAAAATCTGCTGAAAGAAACACATAGGGCTATAGAAGTGAAGGCAAAAGACCTTGACCAACATTTTCTACATTCATATCCCCCAGGGAGAGGGGAAAAGGGAAAAGGAAAGAAGAAAACCCTCCACAATAATATAGGAAAGAAAGAAAAAGAAAATATCCTACCCACAAGAAAATAATTACAACAATTAGAAATGCCAGCATCTCCAGATGAGAAGAAATCAGCATAAAAATTCTGGCGCTATGAAATATATGAATATAGTTACAAGACCAAAGGATTACACTAGCTCTCCAGCAATGGTCCCTAACCAAAATAGAAACTTAGAAATGACAAATAAAAAATTCAAAACATGGATTGCAAAGAAGCTCAATGAGACCCGAGACCTGATTGAAAATCTACACAAAGAAACTTCTAAATGAATCCAGGAAATTAAGGAAGCAATAAACACCTTAAAAAGAAACCAACCAGAGCTTCTGGAATTGAAAAACTTGCATAAGAAATTTTAAAGCAAAATTAATAGCTTTATCAATAGACTAGAGCAAGCAGAAGAAAAAATTTCACTCCTTAAAGACTGGTCTTTTGAACTAACCAAGTCAGACAAAAATAAAAAGAAAGAATTAGGAAAAATGAAAAACGTCTTGAGAAATGTGGGATTATGTAAAGCAACAAAACCTACAAATTATTGACATTCCTGAGAGAGAAAGAGAAAAAATAAAACCTTGAAAACAAATTTAAGGGAATAATTCAAGAAAATTTCTCTAATCTTGCTCAAGAGGTAGACATCCAGATACCAGAAATCCAGAGAACACCTGCCAGATCTATACAAAATGAACATCTCCAAGGCATATAGTCACCAGAATGTCCAATGTCAACACTAAATAAAAATATCTTAAACGCAGCTGCAGAAAAAGGCCAGATCATGTACAAAGGGAGCCCCATCAAGCTAACAGTGGACTTCTCAGCAGAAACCTTGCAAGCCAGGAGAGACTGGGGGCCCATTTTCAGCACTTTTAAAGAATGGGGATCCCAAGAATTTCATATCCCACTGAAATAAGCTTCATAAGCAAAGGAGAAACAAAATCTTTTGCCAGACAAGCAAGTGCTAAGGAAATTTGTTACCAGTAGACTGGCCTTATAAGAGATCCTTAAGGTAGTACTAAATATGGAAACAAAAGCACAATATCTGCTACCACAAAAACACAATTAAGTACACAGCCCACAGACACTTTAAAGCAACCACACAATAGAAATTACAAAACAACCAAGTAATAATTTCATGATAGGATCAAGACCTCACATTTCAATATTAGCCTTAAATGTAAGGCAAAAGATTGCACTTAAAGGCAAAGGGTTGCAAGTCAGACAAAAACAAGAGCCATTCATCTACTGTCTTTGAGAGACCCATCTCTCACACCCATAAGCTCAAAGTAAAGGGCTGGAGAAAGATGTAGCAAGCAAATGATAAACAAAAAAATATATAATGGGTCACTATTCTTTTTTTTTATTTATTTAGTTATTTATTTTTGAGACAGAGTTTCGCTCTTGTTGCCCAGGCTGGAGTGCAATGGCACAATCTCGGCTCACTGCAACCTCCGCTTCCTGAGTTCAAGTGATTCTCCTGCCTCAGCCTCCCAAGAAGCTGGAATTACAGGCATGCACCACCATGCCCAGCTAATTTTTTGTGTTTTTAGTAGAGACGGGGTTTCCCCATGTTGGTCAGGCTGATCCCGACCTCAGGTGATCTGCCCGCCTCGGCCTCCCAAAGTGCTGGGATTACAGGCGAGAGCCACTGCGCCTGGCCAATGGGTCACTATTCTTATATCAGATGAAGCAGATTTTAAACCAATAACAGTAAATAGGACAAAGAAGGGCATTACATAATTAGAAAGGGTTCAATTCAACAAGAAGTCTTAACTATTCTAAATATATACATCCAACATTAGAGCATGCAGATTCATAATATAACCACTTCTAGACCTATGAGAAGAGTTTTAAAAACCGCACAATAATAGCTGGAGATTTCAACACCCCATGAACAGTGTTAGACAGATCATTAAGGCAGAAAACAAATTCTGTACTTGAATTAGACACTTGACCAACCGGATCTAATAGCCATCTATAGAAAACACCATCAACCACAGAATGTACATTCTTCTTGCCTGCACATGGAACATACTCCAAGATCAATAACATTCTCAGCCACAAAGCAAGTGTCAATAAATTTTTAAAAAATAGAACTCGTACCAACCATACTCTCAAACCAGAGTAGAGTAACAATAAAAATAGAAATCAATACTGAGATGATCTCCCAAAACCATACAATGACATGCTAGGAGGAAACTTTATAGCAATAAACACCTAGCTCAAAAAGTTAGGAAGAGCTCAAACAAATAATCTAATGTCACATTTAGAAAAATCAGAAAAACAAGAACAAACTAACTTCAAAACTAGCAGAAGAAAATAAATAACTAAAATCAGAGCAGAACTGAATGAAACCGAGACCCCAAAATCCATACAAAGAATCCGTGAAACCAAAAGTTGGTTTTTTGAGAGGGTAAGCAAGATCCATAGACAACTAGCTAGATTAATAAAGAAAAAAGAGAGAAGATCCAAATTATCACAATCTGAAATGACAAAGGTGACATGACAACCAATGCCACAGAAATACAAAAGATTCTCAGAGACTATTTTGAACACCTCTATGTATACAAACTAGAAAATCTAAAGGAAATAGATACATTCCTGGAAACGCAACCTCCGAAGATTGAATCAGGAAGAAATCAAAACCCTAAACAGATCAATGTCGAGTTCTGAAATTAAATCAGTAATAAAAAACTTAAACAAAAAAGCCTTGGACCAGATGGATTTACAGCCAAATTATATTAGACATACAAAGAAGAGCATACAATCCTACTGAAGATATTTCAGAAAATTGAGGAAGAGGGACTCTTTCCTAACTCATTGTACAAAGCCTGCATTGCCCTGATACCAAAACCTGGCAAAGCCACAACAAAAAAAAGATAGGCCAATATTCTTGATGAATATAGATGCAAAAAACCTCAAAAAAATGCTAGCAAACTGAATCCAGCAGCACATCGAAAAGTTAATTCAGCATGATCAAATTGGCTTCATTCCAGAGATGCAAGGTTGATTCAATAAATGCAAATTAATAAATGTGATTTACCATGTAAGCAAAATTAAAATTAAAATCCATATAGCCAGAGCAATCAGGCAAGAGAAAGACATGTAAGGTATCAAAATATGAAAAGAAGAAGTCAAACTATCTTTATTCACTGATTATACAATTGTATACCTAGAAAACCCTAAAGACTCCAGCAAAAGGCTCCCAGAACTGATAAATAATTTTGGTAAAATTTCAGGATACAGTATCAATGTCCAAAAATCAGTAGCATTACTATACACCAATAACATTCAAGCTGAGAGCTAAATCAAGAATCAAGGACACAATCCCATTTACAGTAGCCACACACACACACAAACACACACACACAATACCTAGGAATACATCTAATCAAGGAGGTGAAAGATTTCTGTAAGGATAACTATGAAACACTGCTGAAGGAAATCATAGATGACACAAAGAAATGAAAAAACTTCCATGCTCATGGCTTGGAAGAATCAATACCATTAAAATGACCATACTGCCCAAAGCAATCTACAGATTCAATGCTATTCCTATCAAACTATCAATGATGTTTTTCACAAAATTAGAAAAAACTATTCTAAAAATTATATGGAAATGAAAAAGAGCCCAAATAGCCAAAGCAACCGTAAGCAAAAAGAACAAAGCTGGAGGCCTCACATTACCCATCTTCAAGCTATACTATAAGGCTACAGTAACCAAAACAGCATCGTACTAGTACAAACATAGACACAGGCCAATGAGACAGAATAGAGAATCCAGAAATAAAGTCACACACCTACTTCCACTGGATCTTTGACAGAGTCAACAAAAATAAGCAATGGTGAAAGGACCCTCTATTCAATAATTGGTGCTGGAATAGCTGCCTAGCCATATACAGAATAATGAAACTGGGTCTCTACTGATATGGTCAGGCTTTGTGTCCCCACCCAAATTCTCATCTTGAATTGTAACCCCAGGTGTTGAGGGAGAGACCTGCTGGGAGGTGACTGGATCATGAGGGTGGTTTCTCCCATGATATTCTTGTGATAGTGAGTGAGTTCTCACGTGATCTGATGGTTTTACAAGGGTCTCTTCTCCCTTCACTTCCTATACGTGCTCTCTCTTGCCTGATGCCATGTAAGACGTGCCTCTTCCCCTTCCACCATAATTGTAAGTTTCCTGAGGCCTCCTCAGTCATACAGAACTGTGAATCAATTAAAACTCTTTTCTTCATAAATGATGCAGTCTCGGGAGGTATTTCATAGCAGTGTGAGAAAGGACTAATACACCTGCCTTTCACCATATACAAAAATTAATTCAAGATGGATTAAAAATTTAAATATAAGATCTCAAACTATAAGAGTCCTAGAAGAAAACCTAGAAAACACCATTCTGGACATTGGCCATGGGAAATAATTTATGATTAAGTCCTCAAAAGCAATTGCAACAAAATCAAAAATTGACAAATGGTACCTAATTAAATTAAAGTTTCTGCACAACAACAGAAACTATCAACAGAGTAAACAAAATGGGAGAAAATATTTATAAACTATGTATCCAACAAAGATCTAATATCCAGAGTCTACAAGGAACTTAAATAATTCAACAAACAAAAACCAAATAACCCCATTAAAAAGTGAACAAAAGACATTAGCAGATACTTCTCAAACATAGGTATACAAGCATCCAACAAACATATGAAAAATGCTCAACATAACTAATTATTAGAAAAATGAAAATCAAAACTATCTCACACCAATCAGAATGGCTATTATGAAAAAGTCAAAAAACAACCGATGCTGTTGAGGCTGCGGAGAAAAGGGAACACTTATACACTGCTGGTGTAAATGTAAATTAGTTTAGTTTCTGTGGAAAGCAGTATGGAGATTTCTTAAAGAGCTTAGAACTACCATTCGACCCAGAAATTCCATTACTGGGTATATACCCAAAGAATATACATTATTCTACTAAAAACACATATGCACTCGTAAGTTTATTGCAGCACTATTCACAGTAGCAAAGACATGGAAGTCATTTAGGTGCCCATCAATTGTTGATAGGATAAAGCAAACCTGGTACATAAACATGATGGAATACTATGTAATCATAAAAGACAATAAAATCATATCCTTTGCAGCAACATGGATGAAGCTGGAGGCCATTTTCCTAAGTGAATTAACAGAGGAACAGAAAACCAAATACCACATGTTCTCATTTATAAGTGGAAACTAAACATTGGGTATTCATGGGCATAAAGATGGCAACAATAGACACTGGGGACAACTAGGGGGGAAGGGAGAGAGCGGCTAACCACTGGCTACTATGCTCATTACCTGGGTGATGGAATCATTTGTACCCCAAACCTCAGCATCATGTAATATACCCATGTAACAAACCTGCACGTGTATCCCCTGAAACTAAAATAAAAGTTGGAATTCTAAAATATTAAAATTTTAAAAAATTAAATACGTATTGTTTTTGGAAGAAAAAAGAAAGGAAGAAAACATTACTCACCATTTCGGAAGCTGGCTTTTAATCACTAACTTTTTTCTTCTCCCAAAAGGTAACTGCTATTCTCACTTCTATCATCATAGGATAGATTTGCTTATTTCTTTTAACTTTATATAAAGTAATTATACATCATATATTACTTTGTGTCTTGTTTCTTTTGCTTGCTGTTTGCTATGTTAATCTATGTTGTCATAGATAGTGTATTTCATTTATTTGTATGGCTGTGTAGTAGTTCTTTCTATGGCTATGCCAAAGATCATTTAGCCTTTCTATGGTTTTCGGACATTTGGGTTATTTCCAGTTTGGAGCTATTACAAACTATTACAAATAATGCTACTGTGAATATTCTTGCATATGACTTTGGTGCCCAATTACCTACATTTCTGTTACGTATACATTTGGTAGGGAAATTGATGGGTCATAAGATAAACATAGTGAGTTTTAATAAACAATGCCAGTTTTCCAAAGTGTTTGTATCAATTAACACTTTCATTGGTAGTGACAAGCATTCTTGTTTGCTTGTTCACCTATCTGGTCATGCGATGCTTAACAATGGGGATACATTCTGAGAAATGCATTGTTAGGTGATTTTGTTATTGTGCAAACATCACGGAATGTACTTGCACAAATCTAGATAATATAGCCTACTACACATCTAGGTTATATGGTACAGCCTACTGCTCCTAGGCTGCAAACCTGTGCAGCGTATTACTGTACTGAATACTGCAGGCAATTGCAAGACAATGTTAAGTATTTGTGTATCTAAACATAGAAGAGATATAGTAAAAATAGGGTGTTATAATCTGATGGAATCATCATTGTACATGCAAACATCAAAAGGCAGCACAGGACTGCATTTGTTATTTTCAGTCTGTTTCAGCCATTCTGGTGGTAAGTAATGTTATCTTATTATGGCTTTACTTTGAAGACTACTGAATTGAACAGATTTTCGTGTTTAAGAGCATTTGGATATCCTAGTTGGGAAATGCTCATTTGAATCTTTTGACCATTTTTGTTGTTGTTGTTGTCTTTTCCTTATCAAAAATCTTTCTATATTGAACAAGAGCCTTTTATCTGTTGTATGTGTTGTAAATATCTTAACCCACTCTATGGTTTTCATTTTTACTCTCTTAGTGCTGCTACCTCTTGGGAAGATGATGTGTAACTAACTGGTTATCTCATGCTCTGTTCTTCTCTATTTTTAGAAAGACATTGCTTAAAATTGCTTCTGCTTCTTCCTTAAAATTTGTTTGATAGAATTCACCAATTAAACCATCTGAACCAGGAGTTTTCCTTCTGAGAAAGTAATTAATTATCAATTTATTTTCTTTAAGACATATGCTAATCAAGTTATCTTGAAGTTTTTTGTGTTATTGCTTATTTTTAGGTCCATATTCAATTTCCAGTTATTTTTTATACAGTGTGCAATAAAGGTTGGGATTCATTTATTTTCTTCATAAGGATATTTAATTGATCTAGCACAGTTTATTAACAAGAATTTTTTCTCTATGAAATTACTTTGACAATGTTGTCAAAAATCAATTGTCCATATATTTGTGAGTTTACTTCTGCTCTCTATTCTGTTCCCTTAATCGAAGCTATCCATACACCAATATCATATTTTCATTACTGTAACTTTATGTCATGAATTCAAGTGAAGTAAGTCTTCCAACATTGTTCTTTTTCAAAATTGTTTCTATTATTCTAGATCCTTTGCAATCTTTACAAAATAGTTATCTATTTAGGCCATCTTTAATTCCTCTCATCAATGCTGTGTAATTTTTAGTATACAGTTTATAAACATACTTTGCTAAATGTATATTTAAATATTCCAGGTTTGTTGACGCTATTATATATGGCACTACATTTGTTTTTATTTCTAATTGTTCATTACTATTATTAATATATAGAAATAGAGTTGACTTTTGTATATTGACCTTGTACCTGTGACCCCACTAAACTCACGTATTAGTCCTAGTAGGGTTTTTTTTGTAGATTCTTTAGGTGATGATTCATAGGCAATCATGTTTTCTGCAAGGAAAGGCAATTTTTCTGTTCCAATCTCTTTGCCTTTTATTTTGTTTAAGTCTTATTGCACTGGCTAGGACCTCCAGTATAATATTAAATAGAAATGGTGATAGAAGCCATTCTCACATTATGAGGAAGGCATTCAGTCTTTCAGCATTAAATATGATGTTAACTACAGATTTTTCATAGATGCCCTTTATCAGGTTGAAGGAAGTTTCCCTCTATTACTATTTTGAGTGTTTTTATTATGAATGAATGTAGAATTTTTTGTGAAATGCTTTTCTGTATCTATTAGAAAGATCATATAGTATTTCTTTTATAGTTTGTTAATATGATGAATTATAGTCATTGACTTTTAAATGTCAAACCGACTTTCTATTCTTGAGATAAACCCAACTTATTTATGATGCATCATCTTTACAGATTGCTTGATTCTACTTGCAAATATTTTTTAAAGGAATCTTGTTTCTATGTTAATAAAATATATTGGTCTGTAATTTTATTTTCTTACAGTATCTTACTTTAGATATAAAGACGTGTCACTTAAAAGCAAAAGGCTAGAAAGAGATTTATGGTGTAAATATTAATCACAAGTAAGCTGGAGTAGCTATATTAATGTAAGATAAATAATCATCCAGAACACTGCATATTACTATGAAAAAAAGGGACATTTCTTAATGATAAATAAATAAATTCACTAATAATTTATAATAATAATTAATATGCAAGCACTTAATAACAGAGCTCAAAATCCATGAAGCAAAAATTGGTCATATTGAATGGAGAAACAGACACATTCAAAATTGTAGTTGGAGATTACAATAATTGAAGGAGGAATTATACAAAAAATCAGTAAGAATATAGAAGGTTTGAACCACATTAACAATGAACATAATCTAATTGATATTTATATAATACTACAACCAACAATAGCAGAATATATATTATTTGGAAGTAGTATGGAATTCACAAGGATGCACCATACACTGGGCCACAAAACAAATGTCAATACATTTAAAGAACTGAAATCATTTAGACTATCTTCTAATTTATGGACCATCAAAAAAAACTAGGGCTAGACTTCATTATTCAAAAGAGAGCATTATTCAAAAATCTCTAGTATTTCTTCATTCAGACAAAAAAGACAAACACATAAATATACTTTCTAATCCACAAAAACAGTGCCATTAAGAATCTATTTCCCTAGATTCGTTCCCATAAATAGTATAACTACACTGAAAAAAAACTTGAAAAATCTTAAAGTTTGCGTGCTGCTGTAGGACCATATGAGACTGAAAATCAAATACATAGTCACCCCAAAACTGCCAAGCGCTCAGCTAGGCATAACATAACTGACGGCTAGGAGAGAACCCTGTTATAGACAAATTAGAAGCCATGTCACCAAATAAAGACTGAGGTGTGGTCTGTTGTCGGGAAGGTTTGTGCTCCTAAGGAGACGATATGGAGGGGAAACACCTGGCTTCAGTACACTGACACCAGGACCCATGACAGAATTCATATACTCCACGTGGGGCAGAAAAAGAGCCCCCCTTCTCTCTGTGAGGAGAAATTGGAGATGAATGATAAAGAAGAGAAAGAGGAAAGTGACATGGGAGCCCAGGAATCCTCAACCTTGGATAAGGATGGTGTAACTACCGCCCTAAGAAGAGGGGGAGACCAGGCCACTTGCACAGATTTAAATTTCAAGCTGGTAAAATTTAAGCGTGGTGAACTTAATCAGTGTGATGAGAAAAAGCACTAAGAAGAAGGTGCGGTGTTGTTAGAGATGAGTGGGTGGTCCAGATTCTGAAGCAGAGGACCAAAGAACAGTTCTTTGCAGACGGTAGAGGGAAATCTAACCAAGATCTTATCTGACCTGTGATGAGCGGGATGAGCCTATGGGGCTCACCGCATATCCTGCTCTCCCCCATCCCTCACCCACTTATTTCTTAGCCTTGAGTAGGGCTTCAGGCTGAGAAGGAAAAGGGGCTTTTTTCTTCTTTGTCTTCTTAGCAGAACCCTGACAAAAGTTACGCTAAATGAGGTCAATATGGCAGTATGAAGGTATTGAGTTTTCATGCAGATTCCATTGGCCCCAAATGAGTAACAATCTGCAGATTAAGGAAAAGGAGCCAGATTCTGGGGAAAAGGATGAAAAATAAAAAATTACACATTCTTGATTGAGTAAAGAAGAAGGAAGATTTTTTCCTCAAGGCTGACTAAGGCTTGGACGTTTGGGATAGTCTTGTCAGCCTGGATAAAAGGACACACACATACCAAGTAGCTGTGAGGACAAACTGAAGAGAGCAAAGGTACCACTTCCAAATCCCTACACTCCTCTAGATTCATTTAGTGTTGGAAGATATGGCTTAATCTGAAATAAAGAACATTTGTTTACATTCTATTGGACTCGTGTGTGTGCTTGTCAACTGAACAAGAAGTCAGTTAATAATTATTTAATACTTGCTTAATAATTTACTATACCACCCCTACTTCCACTATTAAAGATGTTGTATTAGACTAATTACTAAATATCTCCTAAAAATAACTAATATCCTTGACAGCATACGAGACTGTGTGTTTATCAACTTCCTGCCATCTTACATTCTATGCTCAGCATTATTATTGTATTTTTAAAACAAGTTATTGACCCTACTTTTGGATCAGTAATATCTGGAACTTTTCCAGACTCTAGATTTAGGAATTAAAACATTGTGGCAGAGACAGCCAGTTGTCCATCAGAACACAGATCCCTTTCTGTATGATTGACTTGCACCTGGGTCCTGGCTGCTCTGCTAGAAATGACATTTCCTGGCCCCTCTTTCAGCTAGATGTGGTCACATGACCAAGTTCCCTAGTGAAGTGTGTATAGAAGAGACATGTTCTGCTTCAACATCTAGGTGATAAGACACTGAGCTTGCACACTCCTTTCATGTGACCCAGCTTCTACCACACATAGGAAGACTGGGCTCTGACAAAACCAGAGGTTGCAAGGAACCTGAGGGAGTGCACACCTTGAGCACAGGTCCCTGTTGTCCACTAGCCTGACTGCTCACCTCAGCCATATAGCATGAGAGGAATGTGCCTCTGTTGCCTTTAATCCACTGTATTTTGGAACCATTTGATTATAGTGTTCCAACCTTTGACCAAACTTATAAAGCAAATTTTAGTAAAAGTAGAGTGACTTGGCAGGTGTGAGAGTTTTACTTTTTTCTGATTTTCCATTTAGTAAATTAATAACCTAAATGATTAACTCTTTTTTTTTCAAATTAACAAAGGCATCATAATTTTTCACAGTTCAAAATGGAATAGAAGTGCTTCTTAGCACCTCTTGGAATCATGAGATTAGTTCTTTTTAAAAAAATTCTAAATGACAAAGGAAAATTGTATATGTTTATTGTACATAACATGATGTTTGGATATATGTATATATTATGAAATGCTTTAATTAAGCTAATTAACCAATGTATTACTTCACATACTTATCCTTTTTTGTAGCGAATCATTTAAAAATCTATTTCCTTAGCAATTTTCAAGTATATGAGAAACAGTTATTAAATATAGTTACCGTGTTGTAAAATAGATCTCTTGAATGTAATCCTCCTGATAAACTGAAATTTTTTACCCTTTGAGCAATGTCTTCCCAATCTCCTCCTCTATCCCTCCAACCCCTGGCAACCATCATTTTTCTTTTTTTTTTTTTTTTTTTACTCTGTGCTAGTATGAGTTCATCTTTTTTTAGATTCTGCATATAAGTAAAATCATGCACCATTTGTTTTTCTGTGTCTGGCTTATTTCATTTAACACAATGTCCTTCAGATTCATCTATGTGGTAACAAATGACAGAATTTTTTTCTTTTTAAAGGATGAATTGTATTCCATTGTGTATATAAGCCACATTTTCTTTACTCATTCATCCACTGATGAACATTTACATTGTTTCCATATGTTGACTATTGTAAATAGTGCTGTAATGAACATGATAATGCTGATATCTCTTCAACATACTGATTTTATTGTGTGTACATATGTATACACATATATAAGTAAATATATTTAATTAGCAGTATTTATTTAAGTCTTTAATCCATTTTGAGTCTATTTTTGCATATTGTGGGAGAAGAGTCTAATTTAATTCTTCTGCATGTCGATATCCAGTTTTTCCAACACCATTTATTGAAGAGACTGTCCATTCCTCACTGCGCGTTCTTGACATCTTTGTTGAAAATCAATTGGCCATAAATTTGTGGATTTATTTTTAGGTTCTCTATTCTGTTTCATTGGTCCATGTGTCTATTTTTATGCCCATACCATGCTATTTTGGTTACTATAGTTTTGTAGTAGATTTTGAAATAAAGTAGTGTGATGCCTCCAGCTTTGTTCTTTTTGCTCAAGATTGCTTTGACTATTCAGAATCTTTTATGATTCCACACAAATTTTAGGATTATGTTCTTCTATTTCTGTGAAAACGTCATTGAAATTTTGAAAGAGATTGCATCGAATTTGTAGATCACTTTGGATAATATGGACATTTTAACAATATTAACTCTTCCAATCTATGAACATGAGATATCTTTCCATTTATTTGTGTCTTCTTTAATTTCTTTCATCAATGCTTTATAGTTTTTAGTGTACAGTATTTCATCTTCTTGGTTATACTTATTCCTAAGTAATTTATTTATTTTGTAGCTCTCGTAAATGGGTTTTTTTATTTCTTTTTTGAATAGTTCATTGTTAGTATGCAGAAAGGCTACTCATTTTGTATGTTGATTTTGTATCCTGCAACTTTACTGAATTCTTTTATTAGTTCTATCAGTTTTTTGTTAGAGTCTTTAGGGTCTCTTATGTGTAAGATTATGTCATCTGCAAACAGAAACAATTTAACTTCTTTCTTTTCATTTGGGATGGCTATATTTCTTTCTCTTGCCCAACTGCTCAGGCCAGGGCTTCCAGTACGTTATTGAATAGAAGTGATGAGAGCGGGTATCCTTGCTTCATACCAGGTCTTACAGGAAAAACTTTCAATTTTTACCTGTTGAGTATGATGTTAGCTGTGGGCTTGTCATACATGGCCTCTATTGCATTGAGGTACATTCCTTCTATACTTAATGTGTTAAGAGTTTTTATCACAAAAGGGTGTTGAATTTGTCAGGTATTCTTCTGTATTTATCGAGATATCATATAGTGTTTGTTCTTCATTAAGTTAATGTGGTATATCACATTTATTGATGTATGTTTGTTGAAGCATACTTGCATCCCGTAAATCCCAGTTGATCATGGTGAATGATTTTTAAAATGTGCTATGGCATTTGCATTCAGTTTGCTAGTATTTTGTTGAGGGTTTTGCATCTGTGTTTATTAGAGATGTTCGTCTATTTTCTTTTCTTGTAATGTCCTTGTCTGGCTTTGGTATCAGGGAAATCCTGGCCTTGTAATATGAATTTGGAAATATGCATCTTCAATTTTTTGAAAGAGTTTGAGAAATATCAGTAATATTTCTTTAAGTGTTTGGCAGAATTCAGCAGCAAAGCCATCACATCAGGTCCTGAGCTTTTTTTCTCTTTTTTTGGATGGAATACTTTTTTTGTTTGTTTGTTTTTCTTTTTGAGATGGAGTCTCACTCTGTCGCCCAGGCTGGAGTGCAGTGGCACGATCTCGGCTCACTGCAAGCTCCACCTCCCAGGTTCGTGCCATTCTCCTGCCTCAGCCTCCCTAGTAGCTGGGACTACAGGCGCCCGCCCCCACGCCTGGCTAATTTTTTTTGTATTTTTAGTAGAGACGGGTTTTAACCGTGTTAGCCGGGATGGTCTCCATCTCTTGACCTCGTGATCCGCCCACCTCGGCCTGCCAAAGTGCTGGGATTACAGGCGTGAGCCACCGCGCCTGGCCTTGATGGAATACTTTCTATAACTAATTCAATCTTCTTACTAATTATTGGTCTACTCAGGTTTTCTATTTCTTCGTGATTCAGTCTCGGTAAAGGGTATATTTCCAGAAATTTATCCATTTCTTCTAGGTTACCCAATTAATTGGTGTATAATTGTTCATAGCAGTATCTTACGGTCCTTTGTATTTCTGTGGTATCAGTTGTAATGTGTCCTCTTTAATTTCTGGTTTTATTTGTTTGAGTCCTCTCTCTTTTTCTCTTGGTTTAGTTAAAGATTTGTTGATTTTATCTTTTTTGTTTTTAAGCAACTTTTAGTTTCATTGATCTTTTCTGTTGTTTTTCTAGTCTCTATTTCATTTATTTCTGGCTCAATCTTTGTTATTTACTTCCTTCTGTTAACTTTGGGCTTAGTGTGTTCTTCTTTTTCTAATTATTTGAGGTGTAATGTTAGGTTGTTTATTTGAGATCTTTCTTCTTTTTAGATGGAGACATTTATTGCTATAAATTCCCTCTTAGTATTGCTTTTGCTGCAATCCATAAGTTTTGGTAAGTTGTGTTTCCGTTTTTACTTGCCTCAGGATATTTCTTTAATTTCTCTTTTTGTTTCTTCTTTGACCCATTGGTTGTTCAAGAACATGTTTAATTTCTATGCATTTATGAATTTTCAGAAATTCTTCCTATTACTAATTTTTAGCTTAATCTGTTATAGTTGGAAAAAATATTTGATATGATTTCAATCTTCTTAAATTTATTAAGAGTATTTTTGTGGCCTAACATGTAATCTATCCTGCAGAATGTTTTGTGTGAACTCTAGAAGAATATGAATTCTACTGCTGTTCAATGGAAGGTTCTGCATATGTCTGTTAGGTCTTTTTGGTCTAAAGTACAGTTCAAGTCCAATGTTTATTTATTGATTTTCTGTCTGAATGATCTGTCCATTGTTGCAAGTAGAATACTGAGGTCTCCTACTATTATTGTATTGCAGTCCATCTCTCCCTTCAGAGAGATATTTGCTTATTATATTTAGGTGCATGTTGGTTGAATGTATATATATTTGAAATTATTTTATCTTATCAAGGAATTGATCATCTTATTATATATGGACTTTGTCTCTTTTTACAGTTTTTGACTTAAAGTCTTTTTATCTGATATCAGTATAGCTATCTCATTCTCTTTCAGTTTCCATTTGCATGGAATATCCTTTTCCATCCCTTCACTTTCAATCTATGTATGTCCTTATAGGTAAGGTGAGTCTTTTATAGGCAGCATATATTTTGATTTTAAAAATTTAACCTATTTACATTCAAGATAATTATTGATAGGTAAGGACTCCCTACTGCCATTTTGTGAATTGTTTTCTGGTTGTTTTGTAGATACTTTGTTCCTCTCTTCCTCTCTGCTGTCTTCCTTTGTGATTGTGATTAGATGATTTTTTGTTAATGATATGCTTTGATTCCTTACTTTTTATCTTTTGTGTATGTAATATAGATTTTTGCTTCATGGTTATATGAGGCTTACATAAAACACCTTTCATTTATGATATTTCAAGCTGATGACAACTAAATATCTCTTGCATATGAAAACTTTGCACTCTTACTCTTCTCTTCCACATTTGTGCTTTTGATGTCATAATACACATCTTTTTATATTGTGTATTCCTTAACAAATTATTATATCTATTATTATTTTAATAGTTTTGTCTTTTAACCTTCATACTAAAGATGTAAATGATTTATATACCAACACTAAAATATTGGAGTATTCTGAATTTGACTGAGTACAGTTGTCCCTCAGTATCTGTGGTGGATTGTTTTTCAGGACTCCCCATGGATATCAGAATCCATGGATGCTCAAGTTCCTTACAAAAAATGGTGTATTATTTGCTTATTACCTATGAACATCATCACATATACTTTAAATCATCCTTATGATACTTATAACACATAATACAAGGTAAACACTATGTAAATAGCTGTTGTACTGATTATTTTTGGAATAATGACAAAGAAAAACGTCTGTTCATGCTCAGTACAGATGCTTTTTTTTCCCTAACCATTGTTGATCCACAGTTAGTTGAGTCCATGAATGCGGAACTCCTGGATACAAAGTGCCAACTCTACTTGTTTTTATACTTTCATATGGTGGTATATTACTAATTAGTACCTTTTTTTCTTGGCTTGAAGAATTCCCTTTAGTATTTCTTGTAAGGCAGGTCTAGTAATGATGAACTCCCTCAGCTTTTGTTTGTCTGGGAAAGTCTTTTTCATGATATCCATTCTTGTCAAATCATAGAACCATCAAATTTTATAATCTTGTTGCTGGAAGTGACTAAAGAAGTGTAGTGTCCTCAGTGAGGAGGTGACTTGGCCAATGTCTCAAAAATTTGCTCAAAAATAAATATTAAAAGTGATAGTATCTTCCTACCCACCCAGGTGCACCTTCCTACCTACCAGGTGCACTTGTGTGGGCATGTGTGTGTGCTTGTGTGAACACACACACACACACTTTATCTTTCTCACTTCTTCACAGAAAAAAGCCCCTCCTCTCCGCCATTTAGGAAAGGTCAAAACTTTCCACAAAGAGAAGGCCAAAGGTTATTACACAAATGAAAAAAAAATGAAAACTGAAAAAAAAAAAGTGTAGACTGAAGTTAAAAGAAGCTCTATCCTAAGAGGTCATTTTTAGTAAGTGTAGTTTCCACTGACTCTAGAAACTCCATTCTCCATTGGCTTTGTAATTGTTAATCATTCATAACTACTGTCAGGCAGCTTGCTGCTAGAACTGATATGTTTTTCTTCCTTACCACCCACTGCTACAAAGGAGTCCATAAACATTGTTTGTGAGTCTGACCATGTTTCAGATTCAAAGCTGGTATAATTTTGAAGACCACCATTGGTAGGAATACAAACTTCGACATTGATGCCTGACTAATGTCTTAAAAAGGGCCAGTGCATATAGCAGAGGCTGGGGATGCAGTGCAGTGGGTGGAGTGAAACCACGGGAGGGAGGACAAATACAAAAGGCACAGTATCATGGTTAGTGGGAGGCCAGAGACCTAGGCTAATCATCCAGGACAAGAGTAGGTGGCAGGGAGAAAATGGCTGAAAGTGAATGTCGGGGGGCACTCTGAAGATGTAATTGTATCATTGTGTCCTGCTCATTTTACCCCCTCGCTGTACTTATCGTCTTGGGTTTAATGTGCTGGTTTTTACTGTCAGTGCCCCAGGTTTTGATTTCTAGAGAGACGGCTATCAAGAGGTGTGTTTGTGTTACTATGGGGTAGCTTTTAGAGACTCCTTCTGACATAGAATATTATATATATATTTTTTCTTCCTTTTAGTGTCTCTTGAAGTAATTATGTTTCTCCACTGCCTTTTTGTGCAGCTTTCTTCCTTTAACACTAACAGCTGAACAGCTGTTACTATTTTGTCTTACCGTCCTCCAAAATCAGAAACAGAGAATTAAAAAAAAATACCCCCTGGTGAAATGAAAATCTATTAGAACACAGTTCTAAATAATAAAGTCTTCACAAAATTTAATGATAGTGCTCATAGTGTATGTGAATGTTTTCTAAGTGCTTCTTATGTGCTAACACATTTAATTTTCAGGCCAATCTAGTGAGGTGGGTTCTGTTAACATCCCCATTTTACAAATGAGGAACTTGAGGCACAAAAAAACTAATCTGACTGAGGTCAAGTAAATATTTATTGTGGCCCAAATTACAATTCTGATAAGTTTGTGCATGAAACACAGCTCTGTTTCTTGGCTTTAGCAGACCTGATAAAACCCCAAAGTTCGTTCCATGATGGTTGTATAGCAAGTGAAGCATTTGAGCTCTTTTATCAAACATCTGAGTTAGGTTCTGGCTTTACTTATTACAATCTGTGCAATTTTGAGCAAGTCACTTAACCTCTCTGAGCCTCAGCTTTCCTCTGTATCAGCCATGAAATAACGATAATGGTCTCTAATACACCAGGAAGAGCTTAGCAGTACTAGAAAGCTGTATCTCTGTTGTCTGGCATATAGTAGGTGCTTCATCAGTATTTATGCTAATTTTAGAGTTTCCTGACTACCTGTCCCTTTTCTGTTTGTTTTCTGTTTATTTGGAACTTCTTCCCAGGACACTTTCTCTCTCTCTCTCTCTCTCTCTCTCTCTCCATCTCTCTCTCCCCCTCCACTCTATCATAGAAATAAAATATAAAATATACTCATTGGATTTGTTTTTTTTTGTTTTTTTTTGTTTTTTTTTTTGAGACGGAGTCTCGCTCTGTCGCCCAGGCTGGAGTGCAGTGGCGCGATCTCGGCTCATTGCAAGCTCCGCCTCCCGGGTTCACGCCATTCTCCTGCCTCAGCCTCCCAAGTAGCTGGGACTACAGGCGCCCGCCACTACGCCCGGCTAATTTTTGTATTTTTAGTAGAGACGGGGTTTCACCGTTTTTTTAGCCGGGATGGTCTCGATCTCCTGACCTCGTGATCCGCCCGCCTCGGCCTCCCAAAGTGCTGGGATTACAGGCGTGAGCCACCGCGCCCGGCCTCTGCTCATTGGATTTGTTGAACGAAACTTGGATTCTACTAATTTGTTGACCTGAAATGTTTCAGAAATGATTTTTCTCAAAATACACAAATGTATTTTTATTTATAGTTCTTTTACTGTAAAGAAAAAAAGACTTTTAGACTCTTGATGATAATTCACCCGATTTAACATGATTCTCTATGACCTTATTTATATTTGACAAGTTAGAATGTTAAGAAAATATTTGAACAGTTCAGCAATTTATCTCCATCAACATGAGCCTTTTATAGGTGCGAGGGGAAGTTTAACTTGAAAATGATGAATATTAAGAAGATCAAAGTGATAAAAGACATCAGTTTTAAACAGCCTGTGATATTTAATCTTCTATGACTTTTAGTCCATATGGTAAGAAAATTTTAGTAAAAAACAGTCTAGTTAAAAAGAAACTTAATTATAAATTCACTAACAAAATATAAAAAATTAAAATTGAGTTTTAAAAGTACTCTGAACAATCATTTATTCACTGGTATTAAATAGTTTTATGCAAGCTGAAAAAAGAAAAGCAAAAAGTGACTGCAAGACCAATGACAAATGGAAATACACAAATTTTTTAAAATGTTTATGAATTATCCTTTATCAACTTCAGACCATTATTCAAAATTCACACACACATACATACATATTTGCAACAATAAAGGGTCCAATCTAAAATATCAATTTGGACATCTTTCAAGATTTGGCAGACACATCCAAGAGGCAAAGAAATGGTTCTTTTCTTAAATGAGACCATTAGGACATTAAAGTCTTCCTTGTGTGCAAATTGGTTTTCATGATAAAAACTTAAATGAAAAGAGGATCTCTTTCTTTCAGTATCCTCTCATAAACTATTTAAACATATTTTACAGTTAGGCCACATATTTTTAATATCATCTGGTCAATAATGTGAATTGTATCATCCTCCACAAAGAATTTCACCTTAATACCTAGTAAAAGTAGAAGAAAAAGGACTGGGGGTGGCAAGGGCACCACTGGCGACCTGGCTCTACCCCCTCATCATTAGCAGGAAAGCATCTCCCCGGAGGATATACTTGGAGGTTATACTGCCCCAGATGAGTTCCAGGGAAGACTGTAGTATATTATTATAAGATCCCTGGGGAGGGATTTCTTCATGGCTCATTGCATCTCAGTGGAGCCCTAAGTGGTCTGTGCTGGATGTAGTGTTCAGGAGAAGAACACAATACATGGTATTTATCCAGAGAGGAAGAGGGCACAATTATCGTCATTCATCCTGGCTTCATCCTTATCCTTTGTGTGCCTTATAACAAGGAGGTGCAGCACCTTACCCATTCGAAGCTTATTGTTCTTAATATCCACTATCGTTCCTAATACCATAACCACTGTCAACGGATAAGATTTAGTGTATATTTGAGGAGTTTTCAAAAGGAAAACGCTTATAAGAGAAACTTCTGTTGTTTTTCAATGACTTATTGCTGTCACTGAACTATTCTGGGTATCTGGCAGATGTGTTGCAACACATAACAAATATTCATCATAGAGCCATTAAAAATAAGGTTACATTCAAAAGAAAAAATGTTATCATGTAATCACTCAAAATATCCACCATTAATGTTCTGGGGCAACTTTTCAGTCTTTGTTTCTATCCACACCTATATACTAATAACAATATCTAATATTCATTTAGAGTTTACTTGGTTCCAATCACTATACCAAGTTCTTTATGAACATAATTTCATTTAATTCTTATTACAATCTCAACCGATGGGCACTATTATGCAGATTTTACAAATAAAGATATTGAGGCTTAAAGAGTTTAAGCAATTTGCACAGAATCACACAGCTAGTTAATCATAGGAACTAGTTTTAATCCAGGTATGCATGACTCCAAAGCTTGAGTTGTTAACCCCTATGTAATATCTCTGATTTATAAATTCCTTTAATGCTAGAAAATACAGTTTGTTATTTTATACAAGCTGTTTTATAATTCTTCTTAAAATATAACTCTATAATGAAGCAGGCATAAGAAGGGAGAGAATTAAATGGAAGCACATAATGTATAAAATATATATTCTAAAACACAAGACATATCTGGATTTCACTTATCAAATAGTCAAATGACATTAAAAGTTAGCTCACAAGGAATAACAAATAGTGAAGCACTACAGAAAAATTCTCAAACTTCCTGATTAAAGGCACATACACAGTACCTATATATATGTTAAATTATCTGTAAATAAATGCAGATGACTTACATGCTTTTCCACTTTTTAAAAAGGTGTTGGGAGAACTATGGCAGACAGGTGTATCACTCTTCTATTAGGATTAATCATTCCAAGGAGCAGTTACAAGAACTATAAAGTATGTTTCTAGGCTATAATCTAGAGAAGTAATGTACCAAAATTGTGGTTTATTTTTCGACAAGGTAGGTTTATTTGATTTCTAGAAATATAAATGTGAAATAATAAATATCAAGGTATAACATAAAGAAAGTTATACACACTGATTTCACAGCTCAGAAAAATAAACGTTTATATTTAGACAATGATGAAAAATGAATTGAAAACTACATGAAGAATTTATATTTATAATCATTAGATTTCTCCCTATAAGTTTAAGTATTTAAATTGATTTTTCAAAGATGTAAAGATTTTTGGTTTTGTTGCTTAGGTTATTTTCCTGGTTGTATTTTATTATCAATTGTTAAAAGCATGCATTTTGGCTTAGCATTATCCTTGAAAGAAAAGCTGCTGGAAGGAAACATAAGGATGAGGGGAGAGAAGAGAAGGTGAAGACATATGGAGGCAAAAGTGAAGAGGATGGAAATAGGGTAATTAGAATACAATTGTATTTCAAAGATAGGTAGTTATAGCATAACTAGAATTGTATTTGGAAATTATCTAACAAGCATTTAGAAAAATCTAAAACCACGTAGATACTTCTTACTTTCCTCTTTCAAAACTGAAGACAATGTGTGTGTGTGTGTGTGTGTGTGTGTGTGTGTGTGTGTGTGTGTGTGTGTGTTAAAGCACCAGTTAATGGATAGTAAGTTAGGAATTTGGCCAGCATATTTTGTCATAGCTATTTAACCTCTTCTTTGAGCTTTTCTTTTGACTTTAAGAGCAATGACTAGATTAAGAGGTAAAACGGGTACATTTGCAATGAGCAGTATTTAATTTGTAAATAGCTCTTAGTACATATTTTATTAAAAACTTATCAAAGATCTTTTCATTTTAACCTCAATGTAACTGCTGTCTCTGAGGTAGGCTTGAGACTGAGTGATGGTACATAGCATTTCAGATTCGACACGCTTTCTTATAGGAGTAAAGGGGCTGATGCTAGGATTGAGAAATGTCAATTTGCATGGGAGAATTCCTCTCTTTCTCATTCTCATGTCCCTTTTCACCGCATCAAAGTGTCCATCATTTATGGGAAATTTAGTATTTGAAAATCTAACATGCAAGTTGGTGGGTAATTATTTATAATACACAAGGATTCATCACAGAATTGTAGATTATCAGCATTGTACATCAATTTATGTAATCAAAATACGATTAGATTGAACTTTCCAGGTTGTTAAATAAAGCAAGATCCACTATTTTTAATGCACTACTCCCCAACCTAGTGCAAAGGCCACTTTGGGTTGTAAGACTAGAGGTGTGTAGTTGTAAACAACTAGATTGGCCAGCACCACATGATAGTGCTTTTAAAACCTCTCCAATTGAATATCAAATCAAAGGAAAAATATATGTTTCAGATAGTCTTTTCAAGAAACAGTGATGAATTTTTAAAAATCAAAACCTTATTAAATATTTTCTCAGACCACAGTGGAATAAAACTAACAATCAACTCTAAAAGGAACCTTCAACAGTATACAAATATGTGGAAATTAAACAACCTGTTCCTGGATGATTTTTGGGTTAACAATAAAATCAACATGGAAATTTAAAAATTCTTTGAAATGAATGATAACAGTGGCACAAGCTATCAAAACCTCTGAGATACAGTGAAAGCAGTGCTAAGAGGAAAGGTTATAGCACCAAATTCTTACATCAGAAAGTCTGAAAGTTCACAAATTGACAATCTAATGTCACACCTCAAGGAACTAGAGAAACAAGAGCAAATCAAACCCAAAGCTAGCAGACAAAAAGAAATAACAAAGGTCAAAGAAGAACTAAATGAAATTGAAACAAAAAAATATACAAAAGATCAATGAAACAAAAAGTTGGTTCTTTGAAAAGATAAAGAAAATAAATAAAACATTAGCTAGATCAACCAAGAAAAGCAGAGCAAATATTCAAATGCGCTCAATTAGAAATGGAAATGGACACATTACAACTAAAATCACAGAAATATAAGAGATTATTAGAGACTACTATGAACACTTCGATATACACAAGCTAGAAAATATAGAAGAAATGGATAAATTCCTGGAGACATACAACCCTCCTTTGTTGTATCCCTTCCTTCCTTCCTGCTTGAATCAGGAAGAAAGAGAAATCCTTAACAGGACAATAACATGAAGTAAGATTGAATCAGTAATGCAAAATTGCTAAGAAGAAAAAGCTCAGGACCAAATGGATTCACAACTAAATTCTACCTGGCATTCAAAGAAGAATTGTTACCATTTCTTCTGAAACGATTCCAAAAGATTGAGAAAGAGGAAATCCTGTGTAGTTCATTCTATGAAGCCAGTACCACTGTAATACCAAAGCCAGGAAAGGACATAGCAAACAAAGAAAACTACACACCAATATCCCTGATGAAAATAGATGCAAAAATCCTCAACAAAATACTAGCAAACCAAACCCAACAGCACATCAGAAAGATAATCCACCATGTTCAAGTGGATTTCCTCCCAGGGATGCAGGGATGGTTCAACATACACAAGTCAATAAGTGTGATTCACCTCATAAACAGAATTGAAAACAAAAATTATATGATCATCTCAGTAGATGCAGAAAAATGTATTTGATAAAATCTAGTATCCCTTTATGATAAAAACCCTCAACAAACTGTGAATAAAAGGGACATACCTCAAAATAATAAAAGCCATATATAGCAAACCCAACATTATACTGAGTGGGGAAAAGTTGAAAGCATTCTCTTTAAAAACTGGAACAAGACAAAGATGTCCACCTTCATCACTTCTACTCAACAAAGTACTGGAAATCCTAGCGAGATCAATCAGGCAAGAGAAAGAAATAAAGCCCATTAAAATTGGAAAAGAGGAAGTCAAACTATCTGTTTGCCAATGATATGATCCTATACCTAGAAAATCCTAAACACTCCTCTAAAAGACTTCTAGATTTGATAAAAGAATTCAGTCAAGTTTCTGGTTACAAAATCAATATACACAAATAAGTAGCACTGCTATACACCACCAACAACCAAGCTGAGAATCAAATCAAGAACTCAATCCCTTTTATAATAGCTGCAAAGAAAAAAACCTCTAGGAATATTCTTAACCAACGAGGTGAAAGCTCTCTATATGACTAACTATAAAACACTGCTGAAAGAGATCACAGGTGATACAAACAAATGGAAATACATCCCACGCTCATGGGTTGGAAGGATCATTATGTTGAAAATGACCATACTGCCCAAGGCAATCTACAGATTCAATTCAATTCCTATCAAAATACCAACATCATTTTTCACAGAACTAGAAAAAAATTCTAAAATTCACGTTACCAAAAAAAAGACCAAAATAGCCAAAGCAATCCTAAGAAAAAAGAACAAAGCTGGGGGCATCACATTACCTGACTTCAAATTATACTACAAGGCTATAGTAACCAAAACAGCATGGTACTGGTATAACAGTGATACACAGAACAATGGAACAGAAGAGAAAACCAGAAATAAAGCCAAATACAACCAACTGATCCTTGACAAAGCATACAGAAAAATAAATTGGTGAAAGGACACCTTACTCAATAAATGGTGCTGGGAAAGCTCGATAGCCACATGTAGAAGAATTAAACTGGATCCTTAATGCTCACCACACAAACAAATCAACTCAAGGTGGTTTAATCTTGACTTAAATCTAAGATCTGAAGCCATAAAAATTCTAGAAGAAAGCCAAGAAAAAACTCTTCTGGACATTGGCCTAGGGAAAGAATTTATGACCAAGACTCCAAAAGCAAATGCAACAAAATGAAAATAAATAAATGGGACCTAATTAAACTAAAAAGCTTCCACACAGAAAAAAAATTATCAGAGTAAACAGACAACACACAGAATGAGAGAAAATATTTACAAACTATGCATCTGTCAAAGGACTAATATCTAGAATCAACAAGAAACCCAAATACATCAGCGAGAAAAAAGATGCCATCAAAAGGCAAATGACACGAATAGACAGCTCTCAAAAGAGGATATACAAGTGAGCAACAAACACATGAAAAAATGCTCAACATCACCAATCATCAGGGAAATGCAAAATAAAACCACAATGAGATACCATCTTACCCCAGTCAGAATGGCCATTACTAAAAAATCAAAAAAACGATAGATGTGGGCATGGATGTGGTGAAAAGAGAATGCTTATATACTGTTAGTGGGAATATAAATTAGTAAAACCTCTATGGAAAACAGTATGGAGATTTCTCAAAGAACTAAAAGTAGACCTACCATTAGAACTACCATTAAATCCAGCAATCCCACTACTGGGTATTTACTCAAAGTAAAAGAAGTCATTATATAAAGACACCTGCATGTATATGTTTATTGCAGCATAATTCACAATTACAAAGATATGGAACCAACCTAAGTGCCCATCAACCAATGAGTGGGTAAAAAAAAATGGTATATGTACAATATGGAACACTACTCAGCCATTAAAAGGAACAAGATAATGTCTTTTGCAGCAACTTGGATGGAGCTAGAGGCCATTGCTCTAAGTGTAGTAACTCAAGAATGGAAAATGAAATACCATATGTTCTCATTTATAAGTGGGAGCTAAACTATGGGTACTCAAAGGCATACAGAGTGGTATAATGGTCATTGAAGTCATTCAGAAGTGGAGATGATGGGAAGGGAAGTGAGGGAAGAAAAACACAATATTGGGTACAATCTACACTACTCAGGTGACGGGTGCACTAAAATCTCAGACTTCACCACCGTACATTTCATCCATGTAAACAAAAACCACCTGTACCCCAAAAGCTAGGTAGCTTCAGTGGCACACTCATAGCTCACTGTAACCTCCAACTCCTGGGCTCAAGTAATTCTCCTACCTCAGCCTCCTGGATAGCTGGTACTATCATAGCACTCCACTCTGCCCAGCTAATTTTTAAATGTTTTTTGTAGAGATGAGGTCTCGCTATGTTGCCCAGGCTGATCTCAAACTCCTGGCCTCAAGCAATCCTCCCGCCTTGGCCTTTGAAAGCATTAGAAATACAGATGTGAGCCACCACAACTGGCCTGCTTACAGGATCACAACCTAGGAGCAATAGGCTATACCATCTAATCTAGGTATGTAGTAGGTTATACTACCTAGGTTTGTGGAACTACACTCTGATATTCACATAGTGATAAAGTTGCCCAAAGATACACGTCTCAGGATGTATCCCTGTGATTACTATACTTAAAGTCATCTCTAGATTACTTACCTAATACATTGCAAATGCTATGTAAATAGTTGTTATACTGTGGGGATTTTTGTATTCTTTTTTTACTGTTATATTATTATTTTTTCCAAATATTTTCTATAAGCAGTTGATTGAATCTGAGGATGCATAACCTGTGGATACACAGGACCAACTAGACTGTATGCAATATGATTCCAACCATATAACATTCTGGAAAAGGCAAACCTCCAGAGACAGTATAAAAATCAGTAGATTCCAGAGGATCGGAAGGAGAAAGAGAGGGACAAATGGGTAGAGCACAGAGGATTTCTAGGGTAGTGAAACTGTTGTGTGTGTTATTGTAGTGATGGATACATGATATTATGTGTCTGTCAAAAACTCACATAACTGTACAACACAAACTGTGAACCGTAATGTAAACCATGGACCTTAGTTAATAATAATGTGTCAATAATGGCGCATAAATTATAACAAATATACCACACTAATACAAGATGTTAATAATACTGGAAACTAAGAGGGAGGAGGGTTAGAGAGAGGGTAGTGTATGGGAACTCTCTGTACTTTCTGTTCAATTTTCTGTAAACCTAGAACTGCTCCAAAAAATAAGGCCTATCAAAAAAGAGAGAGAGAGAAGTATATGCCTCTTTTTCTGCTTGATCTCTAACCCCATTCTCAAATACCATCATCATTTGTTGAAACATAGCTAACTATACACACACCCTCAGAATCTCTTCAACAAGGCCTTCCATTCCAGACTGAAAACTGAAAGCATTTTTTTTTTTTTTGAGATGGAGTCTCACTCTGTTGCCCAGGCTGGAGTGCAGTGGTGCGATCTTGGCTCACTGCAACCTCTGCTTCCCAGGTTCAAGTGATTCTCCTGCCTCAGCCTCCTGAGTAGCTGGGATTACAGGTGCCCGCCACTATGCCTGGTTAATTTTTGTATTTTTAGTAAAGACAGGGTTTCACCATGTTGGTCAGGCTGGTCTCAAACTCCTGACCTCGTGATCTGCCCACCTTGGCCTCACAAAGTGTTGGGATTACAGGTATGAGCCACTGCGCCCGGCCTGAAAGCATTCTTAATTGGAATTTACTTTTCCTTTTTCAATCTTTCATGGCAAATGTCTGCCATTATTGTACCTTTGTTAGTCTGCTTGGTATTAAAAGGCAATTACGTGTTTTCATTAGATTTTGAGCCTCTGGAAGATAGAGAACATCCATTTCTTATTCATTTCTAGGCCCGTAGTCAATATTTGTACCATGCCTGTGTACACAAAAATTAAAATAATTTAAAACTTATTTATTGTCATAAAAACATAACACTAAGTTTACCAACTTAATCATTTTAAAGTGTATGGTGCAGTAACTTTAAGTACATTCACATTGTTGTGCAACAAACCTCTAGAATTGTTCACCTTGCAAAACTGAAATTCTATACCCATTAATCACTAATTCCTCCATCCCTTTACCCCCAGTCCTTGGAAATTACCTTTATACAGGCGTACTTCATTTTACTGTGCTTACCAGAGACTGGCTTTTTTCCCCTACAAATTGAAGGTTAGTGGCAACCCTGCATTGAGGGAGTCAGTTGGTGCCATTTTTCTAAAAACATGTGCTTTCTTTGTGTCTCTGTGTCACATTTAGTAATTTAATACTTTGAAAAAATTTTCATAATTTTTCAAAATTTTTCACTATTATTTTATGTTATATTGATATATTATCAGTGGTCTTTGCTGTTACAATTCTTTTGGGGTACCATGAACCATGCCCACAAAAGAGGGTGAACTTAATCGATAAATATTGTGTGCATTCTGACTGTTCCACTGACCAGTCATTCTACTATGTTTTTCCCTCTCCTTGGGCCTTCCTATTTCCTGAGATACAACAATATTGAAATTAGGTGAACTAATAAACCTACAGTGGCCTCTAAGTGTTCAAGTGAAAGGAAGAGTCACATATCTCACTTTAAATCAAAAGCTAGAAATGATTAACCTTAGTGAGGAAGCTATGTTGAAAGCTAAGACAGACTGAAAGCTAGGCCTCTTTACACCAAATAGGCAAGTGTGAATGCAAAGGAAAAGTTCTTAAAGGAAATTAATAGTGCTACGCCAATAAATACAAGAATGACAAGGAAGTGAAATAGCCTTATTGCTGATATGGAGAAAGTTTTAGTGGTCTGGATAGAAAATCAGACCAGCCACAACATTCCCTTTATCCCAATCCAGATCAAGGCCCTACGAAGGCTGAGAGAGGTGAGGAAGCTGCAGAAGAAAAGTTGGAAATTAGCAGAGGTTGGTTCAGGAGGTTTAAGGAAAGAAGCTGTCTCCATCACATAAAAGTGCAAGGTGAAGCAGCAAGTGCTAAAGTAGAAGTTGCAGCAAGTTATTCAGAAGTTATAAAGATAAATGATAAGGTGGCTATACTAAACAACAGATTTTTAATGTAGACAAACAGCATTGTATTGGAAGAAGATGCCATCTAGAACTTGTACAGCTAGAGAGAAGTCAATGCCTGTCTTCAAAGCTTCGAAGGACAGGGTGATTCTCTTGTTAGGGGTTAATGCAGCTGGTGGCTTTAAATTGAAGCCAGTGCTCATTTACTATTTGAAAATACTAAGGTCCCTAGAATTATGCTAAATTTACTCTGCCTATGCTGCATAAATGGAATAACTAAGCCTAGATGACAGTACATGGTCAATGGTTCACTGCATATTTTGATCCCACTATTGAGAACTACTGCTCAGAAAAAAGGATTCCTTTCAAAATATACTGCTTATTGACAATGTACCTAGTCACCCAAGAGCTCCAATGAGATGTACGAGGAGATTAATATTGTTTTTATGCCTGTTAACACTACATTCATTCTGCAGCCCATGGATCAAGGAGTCATTTTGACTTTCAAGTTATATTACATAAGACATATATTTTGTAAGGCTACAGCTGCCATAGATAGGAATTCTGATGTATCTGGGCAAAGTAAGATGAAAACTTTCTGGAAAGAGTTCACCATTCTAGATGCCATTAAGAACATTCATGACTCATGGGAGGATGTCAAAATATCAACATTAACAGGAGTTTGGAAGAAGTTAATTCCAACCCTGTTATGGTTTGTTTATTTGTCCCCTCTAAATCTCATGTTAAATTGTAATCTCCAATGTTGGAGGTAGGGCCGGGTGGGAGGTGTTTGGATCATGAGGGCAGATCTTTTATGAATGGCTTGGTGCCCTCCCCATGGTAATGAGTGAGTTCTCACTCTGAATTCACAGGAGATCTGGTTGTTTAAAAGACTGTGGCACTTTCCTTCTCTCTCTTGCTCCCACTCTATTCATGTGATGCATCAGCTCCCCCTTTGCTTTCTGCCATAATTGTAAGGTTGTTGAGGCCCTCACCAGAAGCAGATGCCAGTACCATGCTTCTTGTACAGCCTGCAGAACCATGAGCCACAGTAAACTTCTTTTCTTTATAAATTACCCAGCCTCTGGGGTTCCTTTATATCAATGCAAATGGACTAATACAAACCCTCATGGATGACTTTGAGGGGCTCAAAACTTAAGTGAAGGAAATCACTGAAGATGTAATAAAAATAGCAGGAGAACTAGAATTAGAAGTAGAGTCTGAAGATGTGACTGAATTGCTGCAATCTCATAATAAAACTTCAATGAATGAGAAGTTGCTTCTTATGGAAGAGCAAAGAAAGTGATATACTGAGATGGGAACTACTGCTGGTGAAAATGCTATGAACATTGTTGAAATGATGACAAAGGATTTCGAATATTACATAAACGTATTTGATAAAGCAGTGGCAGGGTTTGACATAGTTCACTTCAGTTTTGAAGGTTCTGTGGATAAAGGGCTACCAAACACACACTGCATGCCTGTATCAAAATGTCTCCTGTACCTCATAAATACTAAATACCTTCTATGTGCCCATAAATTTGTTTAAATGCTATCAAAGAGCATGACATGCTACAGAGAAATCTTTCATGAAAAGAAGAATCAATGGATGAGGCAAACATCATTGTTGTCTTATTTTAAGACATTACCACAGCTACCCCACCTTCAGCAACAACCACCCTGATCAGTCAACAGCCATCAACATTGAGGCAAGACTCTCCACCAGCAAAAAGATTACAACTCACTGATGGCTCAAATGATTATTAGCATTTGTTAGCAATAAAGTATTTTTAAATTAAGACATGTATATGTTTTAGACATAATGCTATTGCACACTTAATAGGCCACAGTATAGTGTAAACATAACTATTATATACACTAGGAAACAAAAAAATGTGTATGACTCACTTTTATTGTGATATTTGGTGATGTGAAACTGAGCTCACAATATCTCCGTAGTATGCCTGCATTTTCTTTTTCTACAATTTTGACTACTTTAGATACTTCATATGAGTGGAATCATACACTATTTTACTTTTTGTAACTGACTTATTTCACTTACGACAGTGTCCTTCAAGTTCATCCACACTGTAGCATGTGACAGGATTTTCTTCCTTTTTAAATATAAAATTTTACTGTATGCATATATATTCCAAATTTTCTTTACTTATTCATCTGTTCATGAACATTTGGGTTGCTTCCACCTCTTGGCTATTGTGAATAATGTTGCATTGAACATGAATGTGCAAATATCTCTCTGAAATCCTACTTTGAATTATTTTGGTTAAATACTGAGAAGTGATAATATTATAACTAACTTTGAAATTGAGGGCTTAATTTGCTGTGGGCATACATTACAGGCTATTTGTCATGAATACAACTTGGCAAACTCAGGCCTTTTAAATCCTGACCTGGATTCTTTGAATGAACTTTAAACTTGTCTCTTAAGCTTTTGCTTGTTCAATCCTCTACCCGAAGATAGCCCCAGATGACTCTTCCCAAGTGTCATTCTCTACTCAAAGGCCTTTAATGATTCTCCATTATCTGCTCTACAGCCCTTCTCAAGGCCCCAGTTGGCTCTCCCATGAGTCTGTCATGATCCAAAAAGCTGGCCCACTCACTATTTGCTGAGTACACTTTGTTCTTTCTCTTCTTTGGAGCTTTGTTTACGCCTGAAAATGTTCTCTGCTCTTCATTTCTGCTCTAAAACCCTACCTATTTCAATACTATCTATTGTCATAATTCTAATTTCCTCCTTCCATCTCATCCACCCAAACCATTGTACTGCTTTGGGTATTTCCTTATTGTTTGTCCTTAATTATGTTGCCTTTACCTATCCTTGCACCTCCAACTGGATTTTAACCCCTTCAAGAAGAGGGATTATATTCTCTTTTTTAAATCATGTGAAGCTCCAAGCACAATGCTTTGCAGGTTGTGTGCGATGCAGTACAGGGGAGCCCCCAAATTAATTGGAGCTTAGCTCGCAAAGGTTCTTGGCTTTGCCCAGGAAAGAATTTAAGGGTGAGCCAGTGGTAGGGTTGAAAAGTACAGCTTTGTTGAAGTGGCAGTGTTACAGCTCTGATGGTGTTACAGCTCTGTGACTGTTCCTGCAGAGCAAGGCTACCCCACAGGCAGAAAGTAACAGCTCAGGGTAGTTTTGCAGTCATATTTGTACCTACTTTAATTACTTGTAGATCAAGGGGTAGTTTATGCAGAATTTTTAGGGAAAGGGTAGTAACTTCTGGGTCATGGGGTCATTGCCATGGAAGGGAGTGGTAACTCCTGGGTTTTGCCACGGCAGTGGTAAATTGACATGGCACACTGGTGAGCATCTCTTATGGAAAGCTGCCTCCGCCCCATCCCTGTTTTAGCTAGTCTTCAATTTGGTCCAGTGTCTAAGTCCCAGCTCCTACTTCGTGGGCACTCAACAATGCCATGTTGAGGCCAGGCATGGTGGCTCACACCTGTAATCCCAGCACTTTGGGAGGCTGAGGCAGGCAGATCACTTGAGGTCAGGAGTTCGAGACCAGCCTGGCCAACATGGAGAAATGCCATCTCTACTAAAAATACAAAAATTAGCCGGGCTAGGTGGTGTGCACCTGTAATCTTAGCTACTCAGGAAGCTGAGGAAGGAGAATCGCTTGAACCCAGGAGATGGAGGTTTCAGTGAGCCGAGATTGTGCCACTGCATTCCAGCCTGGGCATCAGAGGGAGACTCTGTCTCAAAAAACAAACAAACAAACAAACAAAACAACAACAACAACAAAAGCAATGCCATGTTGGAAAGACCAAAATACAAAGTAGTTAAAGTACAAGCTGCAGATGAATGGGAATTCAAATCTCAGCTAGATCACTCAGTGGTTATGGAACTTGGGCAAGGGAGTTAACTTCTTTGACTCAAGTTCCTTTTCTGGAGGCATGGCATTCGTTATATGTACTACATAATGTTATAGAAAAGTTAAAGAAAAATGTATGTAGAATTGACATGTATTAAATATTCAGTCACGGTAGTGGCAAATATTTATTTCCTAGATTTTTCCTTCTGGAATACCTTGAATACCTTCTACCTAGACATTTAACCTCTTCATTTCTAGCCATAGTTACAATCGCAGTAGATTAGCCAGGGAGGCCAAAGTTTTAGAATAAGGATGGCCATTTACAGATGAGTATGTATTCATACTGTATTCATACTAGAATCTGTATTTATTTTGAAATTACTGTAGTACTTGTGAATTAATAAGTTCATAAATATTTACTGAGTACCCATTATATATCAGAATGCTGTTCTAGATACTAAGAATACAGCAGTGAACAAGATAGCGTCCCTGCCCTCCACTAATTTACATTCTAATGTGTAAAAATACACCACAGATGTGCAAGAAATATGATGAAAAGCTCATCTATAAAATGATACCAAACCCCCTAACATCCCAAACTCAATTTTTTGGCCTTATAACTTAGCTGTTGTGGCAAGCTTGTTTTTTGCAGAGTCCAATAATAGTTACCCAGATTTTTTTTTGTTTCCCCGAGACGGAGTTTCGCTCTTGTTGCCCAGGCTTTGAGTGCAGTGGCGGGATCTCGGTTCACCACAACCTCCGCCTCCCGGGTTCAACCATTCTCCTGCCTTAGCCTCCCGAGTAGCTGGGATTACTGGCATGCACCACCACGCCCGGCTAATTTTGTATTTTTAGTAGAGACGGGGTTTTTTCATGTTGGTCAGGCTGGTCCCCCAACTCTCGACCTCAGGTGATCCGCCCTCCTCGGCCTCCCAAAGTGCTTGGATTACAGGCGTGAGCCACCGCGTCTGGCCAGTTACCCAGATTTTTAAAAGCTGGGACTTTAAGAAGCAATGTGAAGACAAGCTACACACACACCACACCACACACACACACACACACACACACACACACACAGACACACACACTTAATTCTTTTTTCTTCTAGAAAAATTGGGATCAATCAGACCTATAAGTCATTGTGTACAACAGGTAGATCTGAGCTTTATTTCTATTTAAATGACCTTAAGAAGTGTAGTTGCCTGGGAGTGAAAGTTGTTCAATGGTGGCATTTCAGCAGGAGCTCCCAGAATATTGAAGCTCTTCTCTTTGCAGCAACTGAGGTCTAAGTCCTACCGACGTTAGAGGGATAGACGAATTGACCTTTCCAGGTCCTCTGCTCGCCACCAGCCTACGGAGCGGCGCCACCCCCTCCTGGCGAGACCGGGCGCGGAAGACGCGGAGCGGAGGCCCTCCCTCAGGAGGGGCGCGGGCGTGGAGGGCGTGGGCAGGGGGCGGGGCGAGCCCCGCAGACTGAGTGCTCCGGGGAGCTGTCAGTGTCAGGCTCTGGGAGAGAGGAAGTGATCGCTCCCGGAGGAGCGCGAGCCGAGCGGCCGGCGCAGCGTGAGACAGCACATCCTGCCCGCGCCGGCCCCGCCACCTTCGGGAGCCGCCTGCACCAACGCTGCCGCCGCCCAGGAGCCGCCGCCGGCTCGGGGAGCCCAGTTCCGCCGCTGCCGAGCGCGTCCAGGTAAACTGGAGCGGGATGTCGCCGCTCCCCGGACGGCCGCCTCCGCACCTCTCCCCAACCCTCCCCACCCCGGTGTCGTCTGCGCTGGGAACCAGGCTGGAGCCGAGGCCCCTGCAGCCGCAGCCGGACCCTTGTCCTGGCCCCCTGCCCAGGCTCCTGCGTGCTCCGCTGAGCCCGAAGGCGGCCAAAGCCCCCCAGTGACACCCCCCTCTCGGCAGAGCCGAGAGACTAGGGCAGAGAAGGAAGGGTCGTGGTGTCACCACCTGGTCGCCCACCTTGTGGGCTGGGAAGGGCGTCCCAGTGCGCCCCGCCTCGGTCTTCCCCGGGGGAGCAGTGGGCGAGCGGCGCTGAAATCTGCACCCCTCTGGGCCACCGGCTGACTGCCCCTGGAGGAGGGGGAAAGCTGCAGAGGGAGGGGAAAGGATGCTGTTTGATTACATTTCGAGCTGTCTGCAAAGCTCTTAGATGCTGTCACTACCCTGCAAGTCGGAGGGAGCGAATTCACTTCCAGCAGGGCATTAATTAAACACTTCAAAGCGAGAAGATGCCAGTTTCTCTCTGCTGCGAAAAAGTGTGGCTGGGGGATGTTGTTTTGGTAAACACCTTCACGGCCGCCTGGCTCTCCTTCCCCCGCTCCCATTCGGAATCGCTCTGGCCTTATAAATCCGTGCGTCGTCATCATAAGGGCAGTGATCCTGGCAGCGCTGATGGGAACTGAGTGTGCGGGAGTCTCATGACTTGTACCTTGGCTAATAAGATTAAACAGAAGCCCAGGATCAGGACAGGAAATTACATAGGAGATCAGAGACTCAACAACATGCAGAAGATGGAATATATTCGCTATTCTGGCCTCTACTAATCCTAGGTAAGGGGCAGGAACAAGTAGCCAGCCATTTTCTTGCTTGGAATGCCTTTCAAGTGGGCATTGTAGACTTATTGTAGTTCAGAGTTGTGAAGAATTGCTTCCAAATATTCCAGATTAGCAAAAAGTATAGCTAACAGTAAGGCATAGGCAACTGCAGGTGACAACCCAACGCCTGATGTTAACACAGACATGGGTAACCAGTCTGTGTACATACTTTAATTGTGGAAATTATAGAGATATACGTTGATCAGTGTTAGTAAATTTGAAAAGGGAATATTCAGTGCAATTTGCAAGCTGAGGGTACTGGTGAGAATGTAATACTACCTCTAATTATTTAAAATGCCAAGTTTGTTCAAAAAGGTTTGGTGTGGAAAAAGGGGTCCTAACTCAGCTCTTTTGATCATATTTCTCAATAAAATAAAATCTGAAACACCTGCCACTGAGTTACCACATGTTCTCTTCATAAGAACTAACTCTCGAATATTTGTTTAGGTCTGAGGATCCAGTGCTCCAAGACCCATTCCTCTTAAAACCTCTAGCACCATCCTTGGGAAGTTTTTAGAATACAGTTGGGGGTCGAATGCAGGCTTTTCCAGCCTGTCAAGCTCTTAGCCCTGTTTCTGGCCCACAGCATCTCAGCATTTTACTTTGTCTTCCTTGTCTCAGGCCTCAGATACAAATGCACTTGCTTCCTCCTTCTTTGGACCTCTGAGATGCTGCAGCCGCTGGTGCACAGTCCCCTGGAGGAGGAGGGGCTGGCTTGCAGTCCTTCCCCACCCCCAGCCTTTCCTCCCTCTTTGCTATTGAAAACATGCATGATTGTTTTACTGTTAAAGCTTTAGGTAAATCACCAGTAGGGATATGAGCAGAGAAAATAAACTCGACCCGCAGGAAAAGGGGCAGAGTTCTTAAAGTAGTGGTCCATGGTCTTCAGTTTCTGACTAACTTCGAAGAGAGTAAGAAGTCACTTGGCATTTCAGTCACCATGTTTTATATCTCAGAGAAGGCTCTAGGGTCTTTCTTCCCAATCCCTCTGCTTCCAAAAATACTCCTTCCCGAGTCTACGTTTAATAAATGAGCCTTGCCTTTGATGACAGTGCTGAGTCAAGGATCCAGCCTGGGTGCTGCTCTGTCCATAAAAACAGCGATGTAGACCAGTCTTGTAAAATGCATGCCAAATCTGAAATCTAGGTACCCCTCTTAGTACAGACAGTGTGCACCGGCTTCATCCTGTTACCGTTTTCTCCAGTTTCTTTGTTGTTTAACGTAGCATCAAATGAAAAGGTCACATGCATCTGTTTCAAAATCTGTTTCAAACAAATATATTCCTTCATTACTTTATTCTCCCTACACTTGAAACAAAGATTGATAACAGTAGCTAAAATATATTGAGCACTTTACCAGGCATTGCATTTTAAAATACTTTCACAGGTGTTAACTTATTTAAACATCACAAAAATCTTATGAGGCAGATATTGTTTGTAATCCTGTTTTACAGATGAGGAAACTAAGACACAAAGGTGTCAAGTAACTTTTGCTCAGCTACTAAGTTGAGCAAGGCAGCATTTGAATCAAGGCCTGACTCCAGGCCAGGAGTTTTAACCTCTCTCTTCCGTACTATGAAACAATTACACTGGTTAATTTTCATATATTGAATACCAAGCTCTTCTCTTATCTCATTTTAATTCTTATATTAATCCTATGAAGTAGACATTATTATCCATATTTTCCAAATAATTAAATGAGTTAAATGACATACTCAACATCATTTAATAAATGGCAGAGGTAGGATTCAAATGAGATCTCTCCAAAGACTCTAAAACTAGGACCCATCCATTTTGGCTATTGTGCTGTGTGAGAGACAAAAAAGCGAGTGTATGTCTGTATCTTTCAGGTTTGCTCTCCAATTTCAGTGTGATCCATTGTTATTTTCTTAAAGCCACAAGTATAGCCGCACTTTTTGCCAGTTGATTGGTAACTGTGAATAATATATGCACACTCAAAGTAGACCCATGGCCCCTTAAAATAAATTATGGCATTGTTTTTGTCTCCTTAATGAAAGTAGCTGTTATACTTTGTGGATCTCAAATGCTGTGTAAATAGTTGCTACCTTAATCAGGGATCTCTTTTACTAGAAATCTTTGTGGCTTCTGCATCCCCTAGAGCATGTGAGAACATATATTCTCCTGGGAACTGTGCTGGAACTAGGAACTTCTAGAGTTGACTTTTTTGTTTTGAGAGTTAACTCAAATTAATTCAACTCTCATTTTTCTTCTTTGCAATGTATAAACCCTTGACGAGGTCCATGTAAAAGTTATTCCTCTTGACTGGGCACAGTAGCTTACACCTGTAATCTCAGCACTTTGGGAAGCCAAGGCAGACCAATCACTTGAGGCCAGGAGTTAGAGACCAGGCTGGAGGCTCGTGCCTGTAATCCCAGGCTACTCGGGAGGCTGAGACAGGACAATCACTTGAGCCCAGGAGGCAGAGGTTGCAGTGAGACGAGATTGCACCACTGCAGTCCAGCCTGGGCGACAGAGCAAGGCCCTGTCTTAAAAAAGAAAAAAATTATTCCTCTTGACAGAGACTTTTCATCAATATCCTGGACTTGTGTTCCTTGATTCCTCTCTGAGTGAGGCCTGGCCCCAGAATCTCAGAGTGAAGTTTCCATCGTAACATAGATACCTCTGCCTAGGTGCTAATCCTCATGAGCTCACATATTCATAAAACATCCTTGATTCTTTGTTGGAGGAACCTTCTTAAACAAAAACCCATAGATACTGTAAAAGGGAGGCATACGAATGGTTTTCAGATGGTCATTGAACCCACTAAAATTGAGGCAAATTTTCATGCATTTGTGCATAAATGTAGTTTTCTAGGGAAAAAATGGGGATATTGCTAACTAAAAATACAGGAAGAATCACTGGTTTACATATGCTGTTTAAAAAAGGGGAGAGGAGCAGAGGTCACTCTGCTGAAATGTATCGAAGACAAAGCCAAGCTATCCTACCAGTGGCAGCCAAAAATAAAATGTTCTTGGCTATCAGGACATTTTTGTGGCATTTCACCAGGAGTCCAGGTGGCAGGTATAGCAAACATCAACTGACACTGAGTCAGGCCTGCAACTGAGTCAGGCCTCCAGGCGTGGCAGGCAGTCCTAGCTTGGCTTGTCATTCATTGAGAATCTCCCCTGTGCATAATCAGTGCTTTATAGATGTGTTAGTTCATTGAATCATCCCAACATCCCTGTAAGGTGGACATTTTTCTCTTTCTTTGACAAACAAGGAGATGCTTGGAGGGATTAAGTCACTTGGTCAAGGCCATATGGAGCCAGATAGTGGAAGGGCTGGATTTGAAATGCAGGTGGGCCTGATTCCAAAGTCTGTTTCTTCTCTTCCTACCATAGCTCATAGTTTCTCTGCCTGTGTGGGACACCAAAAAAAGTATTGTTTAGTGTAGCTTTTTATTGTGGCAGGACTAAGAGTCCCTCAAGAAATATGTTCACACACTGATAGGAAAAGCCTAAAATATTATCAAAGGAACAACAACAAGTTGTATGTCTCCCAGAGTGGCAGAAGAAAAGCAAGCCCTGCTTTAACTTAAGGTGAGTTGAAACTCCACACTTTTGCTTCCCCCATCGCCAGGTGTCTTGCCGAGTACCAAATGCACAGCAGCCCCCACCTAACACAGCCTGAAAACTATCTTGCAGGGGTAACTGTAAATCAAAACTTTATTCACTGCAAAGATGAATTTACTTTAAGGCTGTTCTGTCCTCTGAGGCTTCCCTGATACAGCAGCTGTGTCATGATCCGGAACACTGACTTGCTTCTAAATCCTGGGAGGGGCACTACTTACCAGATGACTTACGTGCTCTTTAGTTTTCAGTTCATACTGGTCTTGAAATCCTCTTTAGCAGCTGTTCTTGCTTCCAAATTATTATTTAAGCGCTAACAGTTTTCCGCTTACCTATATTCTTGCTATGATCGCATAGAACAACCCACTGTTTCATTTTGGGGGTTCAGAACAGCTAATGCCATCAATGTGGCAAACACACAAAGCAGAAATTTCGGTCAGAGTTGAGGGTATTCATAATAAAAATAATGAATCTCAAGCACTATAGAGGACGATTGTACTTGATCAACAGACCTGCCTGGTAACCGTTCCAGTGTGCTTCATTATGCTTTAACTCAGTGCTCTTCCAACATTTTTTTTTCTCTTTTATAATCCCTCAAGAATTTTTTAAAAATTCTGCAGCTCCATCACCTCCACACATTTAAGGTTACATCTAATGCTTTTCATCATAAATTTATAGAATCACAATTAATGTGATTTTCAGAATGTTGTAAACTTTGACAGTTAAAAATAAAACCGTGACATCATTCTTTGAATCCAATTAAAATCTAAATACCAACTTCAATTTAAAATGTATGTGAAGAAGCTCTTTTCACAAAGGGATGTTTTTATATCTTGCAGTTAAGCACCACAGTAAAATTTGGGATTTCTTGGGGTTTTGTTTGTTTGTTTAGTTTATATTTGTCTTTAACCTTATATGGCAGAAGGCATTTTGTGAAAATGGAGATGGAAAAAGGGGCCCCGAATAATTCTACAACCACAGGCACATTCTCCGGTAGATAGTTTTAGGAAAACATACAGGCAAAAGCTGCGGATCTGGAAATTAATGCCATTAACTTTTCCCTTGCCTGCAGGCTCTTTAGAAAGCCACTGTGGAGGCCAGGGGTATGCAAATGCCAGTTTGAAGATTGCACATTTATCTAGCACAGGTGCTGTGTGTTATGGGTCAGTGTGGCACAGCTACTGGCAGTCAGGCCCATTGCCTTTTGTGTATGGGACTCAAATTAGAGGTGAGTAGGGCCAGAAGGAGCTGCACAGAGGCTGGTCCCATTTTCTGCTCTCAAGTAGTGGTGACTGGGAATAGCTGTCTTTTATCTTTCTTCTATTTAATGATTTTCAGTACAAGATGGGCTAATTCCAGTGCTTTCTTTTCTTTTTAGTTTTATTTATTTATTTATTTATTTATTTACAAACAGGGTCTTACTCTGTTGCTTAGGCTGGAGAGCAGTGGCATGATCATAACTCACTGCAACTCCAACTCCTGGGCTCAAGCAGTTCTCCCAACTCATCCTTCCAAGTAACTGGGACTACAGGCATGTCCCACCACACCAGCTGGTTAAAAAATTTTTTTTTTCATAGGGATGGAGTCTTGCTGTGTTGCCCAGGCTGGTCTTGAACTTGTGGCTTCCAGCAGTCCTTCTGCCTCAGCCTCCTAAGTGTTGGGATTACAGGTGTGAGCCATTGCACCTGACCCCAGCAAGTTTTTAGATCAGTTGTTCTTAGCCAGGAGCAATTGTCTTCTCCAGGGGACATTTGACAATGTCTGGAGACATTTTTTATTATCTCAATTGGGGAAAAGGGCTGGCATCTAGTGGGTAGAGGTTGGGACTGCTGCTGAACATGCCACAAAGCACAAGACAGCTTCCACAACAAAGAATTATCTGACCCAAAATGTCAATGATGCCGAAATTATGAAACTCTGCTTTAGAAGTTCTAGTTTTCTCATTGAAATCTTCCCTGTTTAAATAATTTAAGTCAATTTTTTTGTCTTTACAAGATAGTAAAAAGCACAACATCTAAGAGCATCTAGGAGGCATGATAAAGTAATGAGAAGAAGAGATCAGATATCCCACTTACTGACTGTGTGAGCCTCAGTTTCTTCGTCTGTAAAATGGGGAAAATGATGCCTGGCTTGCAAAGTTATTGTGAGGATTGCAGACAATCAGTGTACAGGCCCCAGTCATGGTACATGCTAAATACCATAATTCTTTTTACGATCAAACAGCAATTATGTCACTCTCTAGTTTATCTGGGATGTGTGTGATCTTGCCTTCCTTTGAACCAAAGGTATGCTTTGTTTTTTTATAACAAAAAATTGTCTTGATTTGAATTTACTCATTGACGTTCGTATTTCTCCTAGACTTTAGGCTCCTTCAGACATCATTGTGTCTTCCAGCAGAGAACCTTACTCATGGTGAATACTCAACAAGCTTTTGTTGACCTGAAATATTAGCCAGAATAAATCCTACTTAATTTTCCTTTTCTTATAAGACTGAGTTCTTTTTCCCCTTGGAGCATTTTAATGTGTTTAGTAAAAACATTCACTTCCTGAAATGTAGCGCCCATTTTGTGTCTGTGCCCAAGATGAATGTGTGCTTGGTAATACCTAGAATCCTGGAAGTCTTGCTTTCCTGAATCAGGATCATGCAGAGCATTTCTGCTGGGGGAAGGGGAGTCTTGAGGAGGACAATATTTCATTGAAGAAATGACGGGCAGCATGGTTTGAATCTGGTGTTTTCCTTTTTGAACCCCTTAGGCTAATCCTTTTCGTCTGGCTTTGGTCTGACACTGTCCGATGAGCAGTCCAGTACATTGGCTTCTTTCTGGTAGAAGGGACATTTTGATTCCTTACCAGGTTTATATTTTATTCTAATGTCCAAAGTGAAGCGAAGTAATGAGTATATTTTCATTGAATAAATGAAATATTCATTCATTCTAATGAATAAATGATGACACAATGTTATACATCCTTTGCCTACAATCACTTAATCACTTCCCCCACTTTTTTTTTTTCCTTTTGAGACGGAGTCTCTGTCGCCCAGGCTGGAGTGCAGTGGCATGATCTTGGCTCACTGCAAGCTCTGCCTCCAGGGTTCATGCTATTCTCCTGCCTCAGCCTCCCGAGTAGCTGGGACTACAGGCGCCCACCACCACACCCGGCTAATTTTTTTTTTTTTTTTTGTATTTTTAGTAGAGACGGGGTTTCACCATGTTAGCCAGGATGGTCTCGATCTCCTGACCTCGTGATCCGCCTGCCTCAGCCTCCCAAAGTGCTGGGATTACAGGTGTGAGCCACCACGCCCGGCCTCACTTTCCCTTTTAGAATACATGCTAGATTGTTTACTCTGACCTGAAATAGTACCCATTTCTTTGTCAAGATGAAGACTTCACTAATTGTAATGGAAAGAAGTCCTCTCTTTCTGAATGCAGTTTTAGATCCTACAGCACACCATGTGGAAGTCTTTAAATGTTTATCAAGTTGTTGAATGTTAAAATGAGCCTGAGTGCAGGGGATGACCCTGAGACTCTGTCTCAGAACCAACTTGTGGAATGTCAGTTGGTGGGTTTGGATGATGGAAAAGGAAGCAGGCCCTGTGGGGAATGTGTGTTTTGACACAATGTTCCCTTTTAAAACGACCGTGCGTCTACTGTTTCACCATCTGCCCGTTAGTATCAATATAGCAAGAGGTTGTGGGAATTGGTGTGTATTTTGTGGAAGAAAGAATAACAACAACAAAAAAAAAAACCTTCTCTGCCGGCTTCCTTGAAAAGTGTGACTTTGTTCACTTTCAGAAGGTATAGGTTACAGCTGATTTGGAAAGAGGATCCTCCCTCTTTGAATGCCTTCAGGCTCAGAGGAAAATGAGAATCTATTTGGGTAAGTTAAAAATGCCAAACTAAATCTCCCAATGCAAATATGGACCACCCAGGGACACTGTAAAAGGCCAGATTTGGGGTTTTGAATATTTACACATTTTCTTGCCTCCTATTTTAAGCTTTTTAATATTTGTCAAATGCTGCTGAAAAGTAATTGGCATATCAAGCAAGGGTGAAATCCCATATCTTATGCCAGAGAATTTAAAGCCAGGGGAACTGTGCTCATTTTCCTTGAGTATCCCTTGTTTTTAAAAATGAAGAAATGTGAGTTCAAAAAATTCTAAGACAATAAATTAGAGACCTTAAAGTAGATAGAAAAGTTGGTTACAAAACTATTGTCGAGGAGGAGGAAGATATACTATCTTTGAGTGCTCCCTTTCCCTGGTATAGTCTGCCCTGACTGAGCCATTTTTCTCAGTAAATTGGGCAAAAGTTCATTTTTGACGATGGGTCAGGGTACTGGAAACATCACCCTATAACACTGTCAACACCACCGCTACCTTCCCAAATGCTGGAAAGGCAGATCTGGGCAGCACATGGAAAAAGTGTTTTCTAAACTTCCTGGAGGAAAATACAGAAAGTTGCTTTAACCAGGGCACATGCTCTGGAGACTGTGTGGTTAATAATGACATTTAGTACTTTCTTATTCTTTACACCCTCCTCACGGGGCATTCCATAGCACTTTAAGATGGGGATGGTAAAGGAGGGGTGCTTGAAGATGTCAACGCTGTCAGGGAAGGTGAAAAGTAACCAGAATTCCGACTCATTGGAGTGAATTTGATCAGGCTAGGCTGTGTCATGATGCAACAAAAAATAACTGCCAACCTCAGTGGACCAACACAACAAAAAAATTTTCTTGGCCACGTTACATGTCCAGTGTGGGTCAACAAGGGTCTGTGTTCACCATGTTCACTCAGAGGCCCATGCTGCATGAGGCTTCCTCTTGATATATACTTTTACAATCCCTGTGGTAAATTGCATACTGCATATTAAACCTCCTGGAAGTGACATATGACACCTCTACTCATGTTTCATGAGCCAAAAGCAGTTGTGTGGCCATTCCTGACTACAGTGGCATCCTTAAGTGTAGTCCTATGGGAAGGGAACTGGAATTTTCGTAATAAACTCAAATGACTATGGAAGGGAAGGACTTCCATGAAGTCTGCCTATTCCTGCTAATAACTACAGTCTCTATGGGGCACCCCTAGGGACACTGACTGATATGTAACCACATATGTAGTGGTTTCAGCCACCAACTCTACAAGTTAATTGGGAGAGTTCCCTGAGCCATTTGTGGGACTTGCAATAGAGGTGTTGCTCATTTGCTCAGCCACTGCATGCTCAAACCCTGTATGGGATGGGGAGCATGCAGACAGGCAGGTGCAGGAGCCAGAATGAGCACTTTTGGGCCCCAGCCCCATGGTAGCATCGAGGGATGCATTGTAATTAATGCTCTTTTAGCAGTTATTGTCCGTAGATGGCTAAGTATTAAACCAGCTTGTGCAGAGATAAGGTGACAGCCTTTTAACCCTGTCCTCTTGGTACCTGCATACTTGTCCGGCATCCAGGAAGAATCAGGTCACACATGGACTTGAAGGATGGTGAACATAGTGGTTTTATTGAGTGGTGGAGGTTGCTCTCAGTGGGATGAATGGGGAGCTGGAAAGGGGATGGAGTGGGAAGATGATCTGCCCCTGGAGTTCAGCCATCCTGTGGCCAGTCAGCTCTCTGACCTTCCCCAGCCGAACTCCTCTCGATGTTCAGATGTCCCTTCTCTTCTATCCTTCTCTGGTGCTCCTCTCTGCCACTCTGCCACTCTTCTGCTCATGGAGCCTGAGGTTTGGGGTTTTTGTGGGTACAGGATGGGGGCATGGCAGACCAGAGTGGTTTTAGAAAAGGCGACATTTGGGCATGAAAACAGAAATGCCTGTTCCCATTTAGGGCCGTTGGTTTCCAGGCTTGAGGGTGGAGCGTTTGCTGGGAACCACCCTCTTCTACCCAGTATTTCCTTGCCTCCTGTCCATATCACTAACACCTGAATGAATGCCCATTAAAATATAAAATGCATTTGCATGATTTTAGCATCATAAGGAATAACAGGTTCCCAGAAAACTGAGCTTACAAATATAAATTTTACTGATAATGAATAAAAGAAATACATATGGGGTGCAAATTAGCTTCCTTCCGTAGTTGTTCAATTCTAGTCAAGAATATTCATTTAGAACTTATGGAATGCCAGCCATGAGTGAGACTGAGTGCTTGGTGGGCACATGAAAATGAAAAAGTTACAGATCGTAGGGGCCAATGTCTAATAGAGGGAAAATAGAATAATTTATTACCTACAATGTGGTTATATGTTATCAGATATCAAATGATTATCACATATGTTAAAATGGGATAAATGCCTCAGAGATATAACAAAGTACAATGTGGATTCAAAGAAGGGTAGTGATTAATAATTAAGTGAATAATCACTTCTTTCAATTTGCAGACTGACCAGACATCAGTGTTACACAGACAAAAACATTTCAATTAATGTTTTACCTTCATCCTCCTCTTTTGTTTTTGGACCTGATTTGATAACAGAAAAAATGTGATTATGATTAAGAGGTAGTATAAAAGCATGACCTCTGGAAATAAGATTCGAAGCTGAGTTTCACCATTTACTAGCTATGCAATCTTGACAAGTTAACTTTGCTTGCCTGTACCTAATTTTCTTCATCTGTAAAACAGGATTCATAATAATAGTATCTACTTCCTAGTGTTGTGCTGTGGTTTGAAAGAATAAATCCCACTTAATTTTCCATTTCTTACAGGATTTAATTTTTTCCCCTTGGATCATTTTGAAATGCTTAGTACAAACATTGACTTCCTGAAATGTACCACGTCTTGTGTGTCTGGGCCCCAAATGGATGTGGGCTTAGTAATTCCTGGGATTCTGGAAGACTTCCCTTCCTGAATTAGGATCGTGGGAGTGTTTCAGGGTCAGATGTTCAGTCAGTATTTTCCCTGGTCTAGAGAGCTCTAGAGTGTCAATCTGGCTTCTATTCTGATAGATCTGGTAATTCAGGTCTATCGGGGGTACATTTCCTAACTCCCCTGTTCCCACCCCAGCACTTCAAAGTCATGTTAAATTAAATTAAAATTTAATGTGGTATAAATGAATTGTGACTGAATCATGGAGGCATTCTGCTTGTTTGATTCCAGAATGTTAAAATGTCCATGTGCTTGGGGCCAGTGCCGTAGCAAAGGACTGACGAGCTAGAGTCTGGGTACGATGGAGGGGAGTCCGTGAAGCTCATCTTGGTAGATGCTCACCTTCTCTCCCCTCTGTTTTTTCTTTGCCTCTCCCACCCACTCCTTGAATGCAAAGTGGGGGCAACTTGAGGTGATGCTGCAGAGCTTGTGGGCTGTAAACTGGTGAAGGGGTGGGCATGAAGACTCTGTCTTTGGCAAATAGTTATGAGGACACTTACCTGCTGTAGCCCAAACTTGTTGTGAAAAACAGAGTTAATATCCATGTAATAGAGAACCTTTGATTGGTTCAAGCTGTTCAAAAAATGGGCTGGGCTGTCTGTGAGGTAGGGAGTTCCCAATGCCTAGGGAAGTTCAAGCATGTCACCTCCTGTGAACATTGTCTGTAAACAGACTTATCAGTGAGAGGTCAGAGAAGCTCTGGTAATTTCTACATAATTTTCCTCAAAATTTAAGAATCTCTGATCCTTTGTAATGAGACAGAACTTTGTATTATTCTTTCTTTTGGCCAGGTTCTGCCATTCACTTGGGGCCAGCATAAACAAGGGGGCAGGTGCCAAATTGGGAAAATGTAACAACTTTTGCCTATTTCCTTTCCCATGGGACTGTTTAAATTGTAACATTCATTCATTTGTGCCTTCAAAAAACATTTATAAATTCCTCCTGCCAGACAATGGGAATGCTATAGTAACTTCAGGGAGTTTAACAGCCTGTGACAGCCATTAAAAACAAATAAGAGGTCTGGAGCAGTGGCTCATGCCTGTAATCCCAGGCTGAGGCAGGTAGATTGCTTGAGTTCAGGAGTTCGAGACCAGCCTGGACAACATGGTAAAACCCCGTCTCTACCAAAAAATACAAAAAATTAGCCAGGCATGGTGGTGCGCATCTGTGGTCCCAGCTACTTAGGAGGCTGAGGTGGGATGATCACTTGAGTCTGGAAGGCGGAGGTTGCAGTGAGCCAAGATTGCGCCATTGCACTCCAGCCTGGGCGACACAGTGAGACTCTATCTCAAACAAACAAACAAACAAGCAAAAACCAAGAAATGTTGCTAACTTAATTCCAACTTGACCAAGCCACCATGCATTTAATGGCTCATTCTTTCACCAAATCCTTTATTCATTCATTCACTCAGTAATCTCCTAATGTACTCTGACGGTTTTTATAATCTGATCCTCCTTCCCAAAAACAGAGAGTAGACAAATATGCCATTTCAAAGGTATGTGCCAGAAACCCCCAATACCATATACATATATATTGTATATAATTAACAAAATCTATGCCTTCATTGCAACTTTATATATATACACTGTTGTATATATATGTGTGTGTATGTATATATATATGTGTGTATGTATATATATGTGTGTATGTGTATATATATATATATATATATATATATATATATATATATATATTATATATAACAGTATGAGGAACAGAAAATGGAGAGATTACTAGGGGTATGGAGTTCTCACCCTGAATGCATATCTTATGCAAAGAATGTATGTATTGCAAATGCTAAGGTATCTATTTTGAACACTTAATTTCTCACTCATTCTATACAGCAAAAGTGTGATATGTAAGAAAAGTGTTAATTCCAGTAGTTTGCCTTGATTAGCACATTTGAATAGACTGAATTGGTTTAACATGGAAATTCTTGATATTTTTTCAAGACTCTTACATGTTCTAAAAATAAATAACTTTCTTCTGAAGCAGGGCAGGACCAAAGGGCAGAAAAAAATAGCCCTGGGTCAGTTATGTCCTGAGAGTGTGGCACCAAACATTCCCCTTTCCAACTTGTTCCCCATTGCGCCCTGCCACCTCAAACCCATTTGACCATATGCTACAGTCCCATTGAACTGTGCTATTCCCCAAACATCGGCCACTTCCATAGGAAATGATCCCCAGTTCGCATCCTACTCGCATGTCAATGTCTGGCTCTCACTGCTCCTCCTTTAGGAAGCCCCCTCTGTGCTCCAGCTCTTGCAAGCACTCTTTAGTACGTTATACCTTTGTCATGCATGTATCCCATTTCACCTGCAATGTTGTTAGTGTTTTCAGACCCTCCCATATTACATGCTTTTTGAGACAGACTCTATGTTGATCATTTGTGTAAGTCCCACAGTACCCAGAACAGCACTGTGTGCTTTGTAGGGGCTCAGTAAAAAGACTCATTATACCGAATTAACATAAAGATAAATTTAGCATCGTGGAGCCAACTACTTAGGCTTCCTGACTCTTAGCAAATTAAAAATTTTGGTTGATTAGTGTGCTTCTCCCTGCTTTAGAAACATATGGAGGACCTTGCTCAGAAACCCAAGGTAGTCTCCCATTTCCTTCCATCAAGGTAAATTATCCCATCCTCCTTCCCCTTGGCCCCACCACTCCATTCCTGCAAAGTGTCACAGTGTAGCAGGGACTGGAGCAGTGGGGAGAAATGCGCTCTGATCTGCTAAAGGAGTTTGGGGTTATGTGACTGTATATGGACATGTGTGTGGGTACACACTCGTGCTGAAAATAACCCGGTGACACTCTTGAGCATCAACATTCTTACCTGTAGTCAGCTATCATACTGCAGCTGATCAGGACCAGCAGTTAGCTATACAGATGGGCAGAATTAAGGTCTGAATCTTACTTTTGAGTGTCTAGATGTTAGATTGTTCTTAGGTAGCCCACATTCTCTAGCAACTTACTGATGGGTAAACATGCAACCCAATGTAAGTATATGTTATATGTTAGGTCCCCAACATAAAATGCCAACTTACTAACTTTGCCAAGAGAAACCTAACTTCCCACTGGATCACAGTGCCCTTGCTTATAGGTCAGTATTCTGAACTCTGCTGAGAACTTGAGTTTCTGGGCCCTTGGTTTGGGCTAGGCATGGCTGGGACAGGACTAGTGTGAGGTTATTAAGGATAATCTTAAAGGCTGAGTCTAGAGGCAACCTGGGCATTGAAAAATCAAGCTGGTGGTCCAATTATGTTAATACATTCAAAAGGACTGGGAAGGGAGGCAGAATCTAGGTGTGGCAATAATATGGCAATTGAGGGCACCAAAACAAAGCAAAAGGGTTGAGAGGGAGGGTGGGGAAACAGATCTAGGGGAATCCTAAAACCAATGGAGCGTTGACACTTTTTATAGTACATAAGGCTAGGAACAGGGAAAGGAGTTCACTCAGACACATTTTTTGCAGCCATATTTATTCATTCATTCAACAAATATTATCTACTCTGACCAGTCACTATCCTAAGTATTGCCAATACATCGGTGAACAATATGGACAAAATCTATGCCTTCATTGGAGGTTAACGTCTAAAAGGAGAGACAAACAACAAAAAATACTGAAATGTTAAGTCTAATATATATAATGAAGAAAAACTTAAGGCAGCAGAGAAGATGGCAATGCAGGGACAGTGGGTGGGGAATAGTTTGCATTTTAAATAGAATGGTCAAGTAAGACCTCAATGAGATGAAATTTGGACTAAGTCTTGAAGAAGCAAGCCATTCAGATATGTAGGGGAAAATGCGTAACAGGCAGAGGGAATAGGAGGTGCAAAGACCCTGAGGTGGGTGTGTACCTGATGTGTTTGAGGAACAGTTAGTAGGCCAGAATGTCTGGGGATGAGATCAGGAAAGTGATAGGGTTGTGTTGTGTAGGGCCATGGAGGCTATTACAAGGAATTTGGCTTTTACTCTGAAATGGGAGCCATTGGAGAACTTTTTGCAGAGAAGTGACATGACTTGACTTGTGTTTTAATGCATTACTATAGCAGCTGTGTGGGAATGGGCTGCAAGGGAGGCCAAAGATAGAAATGAGAAGACCCATTAGGGGGCTTCTGCAGAAATATGGATGACAGATGATGGTGGCTTTGACAGGGTGATAGCAGGGGAGGTGGTGAAAAGTGGACAGATCCTGGAAATGTTTGGAAGGAAGAGATAATTTGCTGATAGATTGGATGTGGGTTTGATGGAAAGGGAAATCAGAGATGGCTCCAAGACTTTTGGCCTGAGTAGCTGGAAGCAGTTGCCTTTGAAGTGGGGAAGATCAAAAGCTGGATGCACATGAAGCCAGAGTCCAGGGAACATTTGTCACAGCTAGTGCTTCCAGGTGGTGTGCTGGCGCCATTGAGGTGACTCTCCTACCAGACACACAGGAAGGGTGATGTGAGTTGGTCAGGGCGATGTCAGTTGGTCGGGACACCTTTTCGCGGCACACACTGGGGAAAACCTGAAAACTTCATCCCCGTTTTTGTATGGTTTAAGACTCTGTTCTCCTTCTATTGTAATAGGTTTTGCAGTTGATTACCACTAATTATGTGGTGGTGGAGAAATAGCTTTTATGTCTCCACTCTGCTACTTCCCAAGGCTGTGATTGGGTGGGAAAGGTATAATTGCAGTACCATTCAATAAAGGAATGTTCTGGAATATGGGGCAACCTGACAGGTAGAAAAGGAGGCAGATGTATTCATGTAAATTATTACATACTTTGGATATTTTGTGACCCCTTAGCATGCATGGTCTTGAAAATTTAGATATAATTCTTCCTCCATTTTAATTCTTTCTTCCAGAATTGGTTTTCTTTAAAAGCTAATGTATACATGCCTGCATCCTATTTTCACTCAAAGTGACAGATGGTTGAAACCGACTCTAGCTACATTTTTTAAAAAGTCTTGAATTTAAAAAAATACACATGAGTATCAGAAGGGTTTAAGCCTTTTAGAACTGGTTGAGAAATCTGCTCTGAATGCTGCTTCATACCACTGAGTTATCCATTCGTGTACAAAATGCTGTGTGCTGGGCCAGGGTAGGGAATTTGCAGCCAAGCTTTTCAGATGGGTATTTGCTTTCTAAAAGGAATATAAAGGTTGTGCTGATGGGGCAAATAGCAAATATCCAAATCCAAGAGCGGCATTTAGCATTTGTGTTGACATGGTCTGCAGGGAATATGTGATGGTCCTGCATTTCAGGCAGTATTGATTTTCTACACTCTTATCTGCATAGTAAGGTAGCTGGAAAAGTTGATTAATCTTTCGAGAACACCCACTTTGATGTGTTTGTACTTTGGAGTATTGAGGGACTTATTTTATGTTTTTTTCTCTTTAATCGTCTGGTAGATTTAAACAAATAGAGTGGAGTTTGCTTTGGTCATTCTGTGATACAGTTTTCCTGCCAGTGCTCTGTGAATACATTACAGGTTCCATGTATACCCAATGTTAATTTCTTGGCAGCACTCAAGGTAATCAGAGCCTGGTAAGTCTCCTGTGGTAGTGAACACCTTTCTCTGTTCACCCTAACATACCTTGCAAATGTCATCATGATCTGTGGGTGTCATGACATGCAAAATGTTGGCTGAGAAAGGATAAAGGTAGAGATAAATTTAGAATTAAAAATTTTTCAGTTTAAGAATTGATGTAGCTCAATATATTTCAAAAGTTTAACTGCAAGTAACAATTATAAATAATATGTGTATGTAACAGTAAATGTATGTATGTGTGTCCAAAACAAGTTTCTTACCATGTGCAGTACATTCTAATAATTCTAAGCTGTTACATCACAGAAATGGCTGCCTGTGACCACTGACTTGATTTTGTAACTCACCAGTGGGTTGCAACCCATGTTTTAAAAGGCTGATGTAGAGTGAATTACACACTAGGAATTAATTATCTTGTCTTGTGCTTGCTCAGATCCTTCTGTGTTTCCCTTCTGCGTACAGAGAAGTTCAGACCCCCTTAAAGCATGGCATAGCCAACTTTTGGCTATAGGGTGACCAATTTGGCCAGGTTTGCCTGGGACTTTCCTGGTTCTAGCACTGTACATCCTGTGTCCTGTGTACCTCTTTATTTATGTGCAAACTAAGATGGTTGCTCACTCAGTCTTTGGAATCTGGTCTCTGACTGCCTTTCCATTTGCGTCTTCCTCCACCCCATTTTGTACTCACTGTTCCATCCATATCTCATTACTTGTCCCACAAACTGGTCATTCTTCTTACCTCCCACCTTTGTCCATGCTTCCCCCTCTGCCTGGGAGCACCACTCACCTGTGCTTTCCTCAGGTCTGGTCTTCCTCCATTCTGATTTGTTGAGTCAACCTACTTTTTGGAAACTTTCTTTCACTGCTTTCTTGTGAGCAAGGTGGTAACCACAGACTACATGGACTTATGGAATCTTTAGTAACTCTGTGTTTTCCTCAGCTGTTATATTCTTTATCATCTGTTGAACAAACATTAGAAGGAAAACTGCTGACATAAAGTGGGTGACTATGGCGAAGAAAGAATACAAGATAAGTAGAATAAATCAATAGAGATGATATGGCCAACAGAGTGGGGCAAGAGAAGATGCAAAAAAACACAACTACAGGCTTATGCAGTGGCTAAGTGGCTGAGAGCATGTGCTGTGGAGAATTTGGGTTTGAATCCTGGATCTTCACATGCCAAAGTTGTTTGCTTTGGTTGTGAGGATAGAGTATTACCTTAGAGGCCTCTTCTCTGCATGTGCTTTTCCACTCATCATGACCCCAACAGGGATTGGTGGTCCTTAAAATTAGGTAGGCTTAATTACAAATTCATACGTATTTTGTAGTAAATTTGAGAGAGAATTAAGTGGTCTTAAGATGTGAAGATATTCTTAATTTATAGTTTTAGAAGATTAGAATAAATTGATTTTTTGTGAGCATGTGTAATGCTGATCTATTTTAGGAAAATCTAATTTTACTTTATTATCTGAATTAAATAATATTTAAATTTATTATTGAAATTAAAATTATTCCTTCATTGTGATTAATGTATCTTGATAGAAATTTCCTTTAATATGATAGTTTAAATTTGTGCTCACTTGGGGGTTGCAAAAACAGCTGGATGGCTTAAATTTGCCTGCATCCTCTATCGAGAGAGAGTGCCCATTTCAGGCAGGCCTACTGGCCCATGTTGTCTTGATTTAACTTTGTTGCACAGAGAATCTGGCTCCTTTATCATACAGCAGGCCAAGGACTCAGAGTCAAAGCTAAAGCTAGTCATATCTAAAGATTTGCTTGTTATCAGTTATTTTAAAGATCAGTCTGCCAGGTTACCTGAGAGTAGTTTATTTTTAGACATGTTCATTTATCATCTTAGCAACTCAGAGAAAACAGCTCCAAGCGCAATAGATGGCTCTGTTCTAAAGCATAGATTATTTTTACATCACTGTTAAAGAGAAAGCCCAGCCATCAACATGATAATTTATCCTCAAGGAATTTGGGGCAATAAATTCAAGACTGCTGAATTTATTCGTTGAGATAATCAATAGAGATTGTCAATTATAAATTAATGGATTTTGCTAAATCATCCTTTTAGAGTCGGAAAACAGAGATTAAAAATGTAAATCAGGCAGGAAAAATTATATCAATAGATATATAATGGTAGTGATTTAGTAAAAGATAGTTGAATGGATGAGACAATGTTAGGAGTATGTGTTTGTTGCACATTTGTACTAATGAGTGAGACAATGACTCTCCCCCGCCATTCCCTATGGGAAGAAAGATTTGTTGCATAATGAGGAAAAATTTCTCTGATTTTCGTCCTTTAAAAGCATAGAATGCTGAGTCAATTTATTGATGATTGGAAAGTTCTCAAAATTTTAGTGAAAATATGCACAATATGGACATAATGTCTCCAATAGTTGTTTAGCAATTCAAGAGACATTTATTGAGCACTCAGTGCTAGGCACTAAGGTACAGAAGTAAATTAGACATGGCCCCTGTCTTAAGAGCTTTAAGTCTAACAGGAGGAGAAGAATCACATTAACAGAGTGTAGTCATGCACTATGGTACATGTTCCAGCAGAACTACGTGCAGGGTACTCTAACAGCACCGGTGAGGGGTGCATGATCCAGTCTTGTGCTGGGATTTAGACATGGTACCCCAAAATAAGGCACCTTGGCATATTGAATATTTTAAGCTGAAGGAACTTGAGAAATGGCATGTGCAGGAAGGTCTCTCTGACCGTCCCCTCCCCTTCTCTGAAGCAAGTCAAAGGACCCTCATGTGAGAGGGAGGGTGCATCCTTATCTCTGAAAACACAGGATACAGAGAGGAATCTGAATGAAGAGGCCAGGCTATGCTTCCCCTAGTTGCTACTCTTAGATAATACTTGTTTTGGCCAGTCAATGTTTTCCCCACAACTCTTCATTCTTCATGAAGCCTACTACGAAAGCATTCAGGTTTAACTGTTTCTTTGGGTCTTCATTTCCTTATGAAGCCTCCCATACCATGTAAAACTTACATTAAATAAATTTGTATGATTTTCTCCTTCTAATCTGTCTTTCATTACAGGAGTCTCAGCCAATGAACCTAAGATAAGTAGAAGGAAAAGATATTTTTCCTCCTCCACACTGGATGCCCTAGGAAGGCTTTCTGGAGGGGATGTGATTGAGTTGAGACAGAAAGATGAATAGGGGGCATCAGGTTAAACATGGTGAGAATAACATTTCTGGAATTTGCAAAGGTACAAAGGCAAAAAAAAACCACTTGGTATGCGCCAGTAAATTGTGAACTAGGGAGTGGAAGGATATATGGATGGAGAGGTGGGAAATAAGAGCATCTCATGTGCCCATGGTAAGGAGTTGGGACATATTTTCTAACAGTGTTTTAAACAGTGTTCTGTCACCCAAATCTGATGGGTACACTACCATCAGATTTGGTGATAGAAAGCTCACCCTGATATTGCGTGGAGGACGTATCATCAGGGCGCAAGTTTAGCAGAGGAAGATGAGTTAGGAGAGTATTGCAATTGTCAGAAGCAATGATGAAGACTGGCCTCATGCAATGTGAAAGGACATGGATCAGAGAGGGCAAGCTGGTAAATATTAGGTGGTCAAATTGGGAGGACTTGAAAATTGGTTGTGGGGTGTGGTGAGTTCGAGGATTTGGGGCTGACCAAGGAAAAGACAAGATGGCAGCATTACAAAACAGCTTTATTGGGTGGTACTTGGACAGGACTGGATGAGAGGAAGTCTCTCGTGGCAGACCTCCCAAAGACAGCAGCATGAGGCCACCACCCAGAAGTGGAAGAGGAAAAGGGAACTCCCAGGGCAGAAGGGAATGGAAGTTGCGGCCTATAGGTCTAGGTGATGTTGCTCAGCTGCAAGGTGGGGAGTCTCTGGGTCAGAGAGTTCCAAAGAGCAACAGCAGTTTAGAATTATTTCTATAGCCACAGGGTTTGTATTATCTATGGCTAGCAGATGTTGGTTGCACACAGAGTCTAAATGGCTAAAAATATGCTTATTTGAACTCTATTTTAACCAATTGGATGTGTGAGAATTTGTGTTTTATGCCAGTGGGTTATGAGCTAATGGTCCCAGCCTGCTGTGAAGAAGTAAACAGCATAGGGACCAATGTCCAGGGGCCATCTTTAACTCGTTTACGTAACAGGCAATGTTTACTCAGTGCCTACTATGTGCCCAATGTGATGCTGAAGAGCCACCGTGTGAGTTCCAAAGGAAGCTGTGTGATGCTCTATGGAGGATCCACCCCTTTCTATGTGCTCCTTGGGAGTGCCGCTTGAGATGGAGCAGCTCCTTTCTACTCAATGAATGTTTTAGAACCTCTAGGCGCACAGATGCATAATTTCCTGTTATATAAAGTGCAGTCATGGTAGCTTTCTTTGTTTGGCTTCTTTGCCTGATACTTGGCCTAAGTATACGATTTATCTTTCCTATCTGTTTTGACCTAAGGTTGTGTGTTTCCTGAGGATCCTGTTGCAAGTCCTTACTTCTTTCTTCATGTAGTTATCCTTGTGACAGTGCCTAGAGGGCTCCCATCTCCTTTCTTCTGATTCTGTTTTCCGGTTCCTCTTCTGCCCTAATTTCCAGTGACCCAATTCCAAAATACTGCTCTCTAGTTGTCCAAACTGTTCCATCTTTAGTTTTATACTCTTTCAAGGATTCTACTTGAGATTCTCATTTCCTAAGGACTCTTGATATCATCTGAGTGTTTCTTGAAGGAAGATACTCTAAGAAATGAATGGCTGATTCTGTTAATTGGGGAACAGTTTCCTTTCCAAAGAGAAGCATATTGAATCTCTAAATTGGTGGAATGCACCATAGGGGTCAGAAATTAAACAAAAATTTTCCAAACTTTTTGGCAAAGACGACAGTGGCTTTTGAGTCCTTTAAGATTTAAGAGCTCTCATCTCTACTCTGTTAACTAGATGAGAGGGCAGATACCCTATGGATTGATTTTTCTCTCTAGCATAATGGGCCTCTGTACTGAGGGCTCGAGAGCCTCTCCTGTTTAATGTGCTGCAATTGCCAATGCTCAAGTTACAGTTAAAGTAGTACAATTTGGGTAGCTCAGAATCATAAAACAGTGAAAATAGGACTAGAGACAATATGTAGACACAACAGTCTTAAATACATGTCACAAATTCAGCAAGAGTGATACTAAAGGCTTAATTTTAGAAAAATTTCTGAATTTCCTAGTCAAGAATTTACCCAATATGAATAAAATTGAGAGGAACCTAGAAAAATCAACATAATGTTTCAACTGTGTGTATGGATTGAGATAGTTTTTCCTCCAAAATAGTAGTTCTCTACAGCCACAAATAGGTCCTTCCTATGTAAATGAAACTCCTGCAGTGCTTGGGACTACCCAGTATTGGCTTTGATGGGGTGTATGGGAATTTCAGAGGAATGCTTTTCCTTCTGGTGTCAGCTCTCTCATGCAATTTACATGTGATGCCACCAGGTGGTGATACAGAGGGATAGCAAGACTGGACCGGAAGTAGACTGATCAGCATCCATCATAACGGCTTTTTGTTTAAGAGCTTTCTTTGGATTTAAATTAGTAAAATCTTGAATAAGTAAACACTGGAAGGAAAGCATTATTTAATGAAAGTGCCCAATAATGAGGAAGTCTGACATTTCCATTTTAACTCTTCCATTTAATGGTTGTAAATGTGTATGACTATATCTGTTTCCCTATTTATGGGTAAAATGCTGGTACTGGATTATATAATCCTTGAAGTTCTTGTTTTGAAATGAACATGTATAATTGTAATTATTAAAGCAGTCTATTAATGCTATTCACAATAGCAAAGACAGCGACTCAACCTAAATGCCCATTAATGGTAGACTGGATAAAGAAAATGTGGTATATGTATGCCATGGAATATGATGCAGCCATAAAAAAGAACGAGATCATGTCCTTTGCAGAAACATGGATGGAGCTGGAGGCCATTATCCTTAGCAAACTAACGCAGGAATGGGAAACCAAATACCAGATGTTCTTACTTGTAAGTGGGAGCTAAATGATGAGAAGGCATAGACACATAGAGGGGAGCAATACACACTGGGCTCTGTTGAAGGGTGGAGGGTGGGAGTAGGGAGAGGATCAAGAAAAATAACTACTGGAAATTAGGCTTAATACCTGGGGGATAAAATAATCCATAAAACAAGCCCCCATGTCACAAATTTATATAAGAAACCTGCACATGTACCCCTGAACTTAAAAATAAAAGTTAAATTTAAAAAAGTAAAATGAATTAAAAATGCCTCTGTGAACAAAGATGATGGTTTGCAAACTCCTCAGTGATATGAAGAAGCCTACTAGATATAATTGAGGTCTGTAAAAATCACCCTTTGTTTTCTCTTGTAAAATTAAATATAATTAAGACCAAAAAAAAAGCAGCCTACAGCAAAATTAGGACAAAGGAATAAAAAAAATCACACAAACATAAATCTATAGTTCATTAACAACTGTCTTACTTCACTTTACAACCAGGCTAACGCCCATTTGTGTGTGTGTGTTTAGTGAGGGGAGAAGGAGAATGGGGAATGAAAAGTGGCTTCTCAGTTAGTCTTCCTTACCTGTTACCTGGCTTAGGCAAGTGAGAAATCTTTCACACATTGTTCTATGGGGTCTCTCTCTCTCTCTTTCTTTCCTTCTTTCTTTCTTGACGGAGTTTCACTCTTGTTGCTCAGGCTGGAGTGCAATGGCGCGATCTTGGTTCACTGCAACCTCCACCTCCCAGGTTCAAGTGATTCTCCTGCCTCAGCCTTCCCGAGTAGCTGGGATTACAGGCGCATGCCACCATGCTCTATAGGGTCTTTTCTTTAAGGCCTCACTTTCCTCCTAACTCTAGTTTTCTTTATGCTGTATCTAGAAGTCTTACTCAGATCTCCCAGGTATTTTTAAATCATAGTTTGTGGAATTTTTGACTCTAACTTGAATGTTTAATGCTGAGTGATTTTGTTAGTCTGCCTTTCACTATTTCTTTTCCTAAAAAAAGCCTGAACTCCCTCTGTTTAGATTATTTATATAAACACTTAGCAAAATTTTGTCAAGTAAATGTCTCTGTAGGCTTTAGAATCAACTCTATCTTATCAGAATTAGGTTAAGTCACAGTTGACTTAACCTAAGCTGGGGAACCCCTAGGGGTTCCCCAGAAACATTAGGGATCTGTAAGGTCAAAGCTATTTTCATAATAACACTAAAATGTTATCTGTCTTTTCTACTGTGTTGACATTTGCAATGATGATATTAAAGCAATCATGGGTAAAACTGCTGGTATTCTAACGTGATTTGAGGCAGTAGCACCAAACTGTACTAGTAGTGGCCCAAATTTCACTGCTACATGCACAGTTTTTAAAAAAATAACTCAGCTTCACTTAAGAATGTCCTTCATAAAGCAGAAAAAAAATTAGTTACATTAAATGTCTACTCTTGGGTATATGTCTTATTGTGTGACAAATGGGAACACGCAAAGCCTTCTGCTACCAACCAAGTAGTTGTCTTGAGGAAAAACATTTGTACAGTAATTTGAATTGTGAGCTAAACTAGCGGCCTTAAAAAAAAAGAAACACTATTTTTTACATGAACAACTGACAAGCTAGGGTGATTCAGACTTCAGTATTTGGTAGACATTTTCTCAAAAATCAATGGTGTGAGTTTGTCACTTCAAGAACACAACTGACAATATTTGTTGCTAATGATAAAGTTTGAGCTTTCAAGCAAAAATTAGAATTTTGGGCCATCCTGAGCTTGACAGTTTTATGTCACCTAAAGACTTCTGAAAAGATTGGCGATGAAGTTACTAAATTTGATTTTCAGATATAATATAATGTGTCAATATTTGGAAGGTCTGCATGATTTATTATTTTCCAGTTACATTTTCCAAGTAACCTATTCATGACATTATAAAATCATACATGAGTAAAAGATCGATTCAACGTTTAGGATAGACCAATGGATTTTAATGTAACAGAGTACAAAAAGTTCATTGATTGATATGGTTTCATATTCACATTGCCGCTAACCTTTAAGAAACTGCTATTTGTTGACTTTTGGTATAATAGTGAAGAATATCCACAATTACCTGAAGAGGCTGTTAAAATATTCCTCCTTTTTCAGATTACATATCTGTGTGAGGCCAGATTTTCTTCATATACTTTAACTAAAATAACATATCACAACAGATTGAATGCAGAAGCAGCTATAAGAAAGCATTTGACTTCTATTAAACCAGATGTTAAAAAGATATGTGAAAATGTAAAAGAATTACACTCATCTTACTTTTTTTTTGGTCTTGGAAATTGTATGTTTTTTTCACAAAATGTTAATAAATAACATGTATGTTGTTATTTTAAAATAATTAAATACTTAAAGTTTTATCAGTTTTGATTTTTAACATGATTAATGTTAATAGATAACCTACATAAAAACATAAACTAAAGCTCTTTGAAGTCCTTGATAATTTTTAAGGGTATAACAGGGTACTGAGATAAAAATGTTTGAGAACTGCTCTTCTGTGGTATTAGTAGAACAGTCCTGAGCATCGTCCTACTATAAGGTGGATTTTATTTAAAATTTTGTTTTCATAGTGTACTGATGGCTGTAAAAATTTAGAAAATAACCCTCCTTTCACTGGCCAACTCCCTCCTGAGATGTCTATCACCCTCTTTTTTTTTGACTGAGCTATAGCTGTAAAAGTGGGCTCACGGTGGTCGTCTGTATCATCCCTTGGCCTCCCATCCAAGTGGAAAGAGGCAGCTGCATTTTATGAGACACTAAGCAGGTGAAATGGGGCTGTGAAAGATCAAATTTCTTACACGTATCTGTGGCAGATGAAAAGTTCAATATATGATAGTGAAGAGCTGACAAGAGCAATTGTTTTCAGGCAGGAAAAGAAAACTTATTTCTGGGTATTTTTTCAATAAGTCTGGCAACAGCTGGGCAGTGATTTAAACCTCCTAGGATTCTGACTTTAAGCTTAAAAATACATTTGCATATGCCAGCATTAGGAATGGAATCCCAAACGGCTGCCAACTTAGACAACCGAAAGGAAATAGAGATCTATATTGTTCAAAAGCTAAGCTTTGGGAGGTGCTGTTACTCTGCAGCTGTGTAAACAGAACTAAACCCTTTGCATCTCCTCTGCTAGACACTTTGTTCTAAATAGGACCAAACTATACCATGATGATATGTGCAGAAATAAAATGAAGGTGATAGAGCTCATTGTTGGGTTCGAGAAAAGCTGGACATTTTCCTTTCTCTATGGATATATGCAGACATAAGAAATGTAAAGGAGATGTAGGGGAACCTGGCAAGGCAAGAGAAGATGTGAAATTGATTTTAGTTTTATTTCCTCCCTCCTCAGTATCCACATTTCTTTCTCTCATGTTTTCCTGCCTCCCTCCTCTCCCCATTTTTTCCTCTATTGAAACTGAGGGGCCGGGTGTGGTGGCTCATGCTTATAACCCCAGCGAAGGCCCAGGTAGGAGGATTACCTGAGGTCAGGAGTTCAAGACCAGCCTGGCCAACATGGCGAAACCCCATCTCTATCAAAAAATACAAAAATTAGCCGGGCCCAGTAGCACCCACCTGTAGTCCCAGCTACTCGAGAGGCTGAGGCAGGAGAGTCGCTTGAACCCAGGAGGTGGAGGTTGCAGTGAGCCGAGATCGGGCCACTGCACTGCAGCCTGGGTGACAGAGCAAGACTCTGTCCCAGAAAAAAAAGAAGAAACTTAGGACCGTGAGCCATTTGTATAATGGAATAGCAGGAGAGACCTTCCCTGTAACTAACTTCCTAACTAGAGAAGAAACCATGTCTTCATATACCAACCCATCCTCTGGGGGAAGTGGGTAAGGTGCAGGGGATGCCTGCTGGGGACAGCTTGATATGTAATTCTTATGTTCAGAAGAAAAAATTGAGAAGTTTTCTTTTTTTTTACTGTTGAGTTAAATGACTACACTTAATTTTTTAAAAAGTTTTTTTTTTTTTGAGTCGCATCCCTTTTCCCACATGCCTTCCATTTTATAACCCATTTAGATAGAGAAGCTCCTACTACTTGCTCTGAAGTGTTTTAGAATGGCTAGGAACACAGATTGGATTTCCTTACTTTAAATGTATTGCTATTAAATCAGTAATGTCCCATGTCTTTCATGTAATTCTCACAGTAACACTTTTTAAATGATTGCAGTGAACTTTGAGTGATGACATGGTTATTGAATTAGGGTGCAATTGGTGATGTGGGCAAGAGTGGGCAGGGTAAACTAATGGTAATAATGATAGAAAAGGAAGAGGAGGAGGAGGAGAAGGAGAAACAACTTTTCTTGGGTATTTAGTATTTGCCAGGCATAATGTTTAGCTCTTTACTTATATTGACTCATTTGTTTGGATCAAAAGAATGACAGCTTACTAGATCAGAGATGTGCTGAAGCCAAAGTGATCAAAACTGAGACATTTGGGAGGATAAGTGGAGATGAGCTGTAGTGACAACACTAAGCAGAGGATAAAGGGTAAATCAAAGAACAAAAGGAAAATCAGTAGTAGAGAGCTGAAATTTGAAAAAATGTAGCAGGCTCTAGGGATTTGTGTATGGAGTCTAGGGTAAATGTAGTAGCTGATTTGAACTTTGAGACATCTGTTTTGGGGTGAGTATAACTTGGCTTGACAAAGAAAGACAAGGGGTGAAATGGGGATTGTGTTCAGTGATAGTAAAGCTGGAGGGTTTGCAGGAGAACAAGGGCTATGATGTGGGGGTGGAGGGAGATAAGATGTGTGAATTTGGCAATGAAGCTGGGTGACAGTGAGTGAGGAAGGGGAGATGCCACTGATGGAAAAAGAGTTCTGAATATGGGACTCTGCTCCGAGGATGCTGAGCAGGAGGTGCAAAAGTGCAACTGATTGCAGTGGATGGGGCTGGGGAGAGACTGAGCTGTGATTGCTCCTAAATCTGGGTAGAGTGAAGCCGAGAGTTGGCTGGTGTGTGGTGGAACATGTAGATGATCAGACAGGGAGGAGCCCTATACCCAGAGGTGGGTTTGATTTACCCACTTGATCCCTTGCCATTTGTAAATGAGAGAGCAGTTTTTTATGTGTATGAAGTAACTGAGCAATAATTAGCAGCAGGTAGCTTTGACTCTTATTTTCTTAGACTGAGAGCATCAGAATTGCCTTAGCAATAACCTGCATTAGCCACAGGAATCTCTATAACTCATGTCCCTCATGTTTTGCTCCTCGATTTGCTTTCTTTGATGTGCAGGGAGATTTAGTGGGTCAGACTAGCAAGCCCCCCAGGAAATCCTACGGAGTTCACTGCTGACACTGCATTTAATGCTACTATTTAAGCCATTTTACTATGTGTAAAGTCTCGTTCATTCACTATAATGTATACTTTCCAAACCCTTTATGAGGCATTCTCTTGAGGTTCCTTATTCTCCTAGAGGTTGATGCTAAGCATCTGCTTTGGAATGGATCAAAAAATCAATAAATGGAAAGCCCTTTACAGTTGTGTCTTCTAACATTGTAACCTACTGCATTTAAAGACATATTATTTGGATCATCACTACCTAATATAATCTTTTTTTAAGTTCCCTCAATGTTTTTATTGTTTATTTTTAAAATATTGACTCTCCGGCTGGGAATTCCAACTTAAATGATCAACTTTGTAAGACATATTTATTATTTGCAAGAAAGCCTTTGCACTTTGAAGAAATTTTCTGAGAATACATTTTACTTCCCTTTTGTGATTGAAATTCTTTGCAAGAAAATCATAACAAATACAAGACTTTCTTATATTATGGTTTCCTCCTTAATAACCATAAATATTGCTGAAGTTGCACGAGACAGTTTTGATGATTTGGAAAAAGGTAAATAAATGTTGGGGAAAGGTCAAGTAAAAGCTGGGGAAATGTGGAGGAGGGGAAAACTCACATTTTCTAAGAAGATTCTCCTGGCTGCTTTCAGCTTAGAATGAAACAGCTATTGCTTTAACAGTGATTTTTCTGATCATACATTTCATTTTTGACTGTCAAAAAATTTCCAGCACACTAGTTAGATGGACCCTCATTGGTCAAGGGCATTTATAACTTCTCAGATGACTTCTGGAATTCCTGCCAGGAATTTTACCCATTGGTGTTGAAAATTATTGGCAACCTGTATTTCAGTGATAAACTTCACTTTTGTGAAGTTCTGCGACTTCTCTTGGAAAGAAAAAGATCAGAAGATCTAACTTCATAGGTCTGTGTCCTTCCGTGTGGACCCTCAGTCGGACCTGGTGGATCTACCTCCTGAGGACAGGGCATTTCCTCTCTGGCTGGCCCTCAGTCACGGCTCTGCTTGCTCAATTACTCCCTTGGCTCTGTTAAGACTTTGAATTGCATCTCCTGTTTCAACAGCCCTTTGTAGGGGGATGACTCCAAACTCTATTCCTCAACTTCAGTCCCCCATCCCACTTCTCCCCCCATCTGTAGTGTTGTATTTGTGCATTCTGCCCAGAAGTCCCACTGATACCCAAATTATGACATACATGCTGCAAGGAGTTTTTTCACCATTTTCCTCTTTGCCTTTTCTTCCTAATTTCACTGCCATCCCCTTTGCTTTCTCAAAGTCAAATTGTTACTGGACCTTCCTTTTTTGCTTCCATATTTAAAGGCTACTAAGAGTTCCTTGGTCCCTCTTGGCTGTGCTCTCGCTAATGCACATTCTCTACTTCTGTCTCCACATTCGCCTACCATTCCCGTACAGGTACAGTTGAATCAGAGAGAAGTTGGCATTAGTTTCCCAGCAGCTTGCCTTATTTCTAGTTTTTGCTCCAGTCTGTTATACAGGCAGGGACAAGAATAGGCTTAAGCAAATTCCATTTTTATTTTGTCACTTTTCTTTTCAAAAATCTGCTATGATTTCCCATCACCCATTACACCAAATAGAACTCAATTTTCTGTTTTGTCCAGGCTTTCCAGGTTGCCTCAACATATCCATTCTTGTCAATTAAACTTTGTTTTCTTTTTTCTTTTTTAAAACAGTCTCACTCTGCCACCCAGGCTAGAGTGCAGTGCATGATTATAACTCATTGTAACCGTGAATTCTTGGCGTCAAGCTGTCCTCCCGCCTCAGCCTCCCAAAGCACTGGGGTTACAGGTATGAACCACCACACCTGGCCTCAACTTTCTGTTTCTTGAGTTGAATTTATCCACATCTCTTGCACTCAATCTGTCAGTTCCCTCTTTGACAGGTCTTCACACATCCAAATATGCCCTTCTCTTGCTAGTTTCTGACCTCATTCAATACCCAGTCCCAATTTTACCTATTCCTCAATGCTTCCCCTGGCATACTCCACCAAACCTTGGTTAGCATTTTGCTCTGCATTCCTCTGAACTTGTACACTGGGTATCACAAAGTTGTAGTAGGTCAGAGCACGGACAAGCTTGAATTTAGGTTCTGCCATCTATTGGGTAGGCAGTCTCAGTTCTTGCTGAACCTCCTTTGTCTTAATTATGAAAAGGAATTAATAATAAGAATGGTGTACTTGGATTGATATGATTACATGTGATAATGAATGTCAAAGGCCTGGCACTGAGTGATCAATAAGCCAAGATCTCAGAGAACATCTCCATCCACACTGCATGTCCACAAATTTGAGCTATACGCTCTTTGAAGGAGAGAATCTGGTTTTGCTTATCTTTGTATCCCTATTCATTATAAAGTGCCTAGCACAGATTAAATACAGCAAATATTTGTTGAAAAATGAAGAAACAGTGTGATCATGAGTGGCACAGATTGGTTATTGCAATCATTCTGATTATTTCACAAATCTCCGCTGTCACACTGTGAGCAGAAATGTGTATAGTAGAAAAACAGTGTATTTCCCAACTTGTGTATTTGTCTGAAAGTGTGTCCCAGAGTGACTGTAGATTCATGATTACCGTCTGGGGACAACGACAAAAAAGTTGAGAATTTTTCATTGTTCTGTATTCTTTGGTATTTTTTTCCTTCCATTGCTCTGTCATCTACTTCAAGATACATTATATATTTATCCTAGTTGCATACAAATAGTATGTGAATGAATACTCATGACATTTACGGTTAGTCAATTTTTCCCCATTATTTTAGAAATTTGGGCGAGGGCAGCTCTTCATTTCTCAAGGTTTCCATTTTGTTAGTTTTCATTTGGGAGCACAAAAGACTCAAATATATAATCATTGGTAATTAGTAAGAGTCTTCTTCAAACTGATTTTATTTAAAAATGTTACTGGCACCATCACTACCAGCATCGTCATCATGATTAACATTAAAATTAAATCTTGTTTGGATAAATTTTCCCAAGAACTTGCCATGGTGTTATCTCCCGTTTCATGTGCTCACAAACACCCTTTGCTTTGGAAAGTGAAGGTGCCAGAATAAGCAATATTACATTCAGAATGCAAATGAAAGCTTTATAGAAATAGGGTTGTGTTAGAGATGAAATTAACTGTGACACTTCAGGAGTTTTACCGAGAAAGAAGATTAACATGTTCGGTCTTCAGCGGCTGTCTTCCCTGATGCAAATAATGTTAGGCAAAATGAAATCTCCATGCATCCGAGCTCAGTGGAGGAATGTTTATTGAGTCCATAGAAATTTGAGCAGGGCATATCTCTAGGGGTTTATGACAGGCTGTTTTCTTTTCTCAGTGTGGGGATGAATTGCTCCATTATCATCTAAATTGGAAGTCATGATGATGGTTCTTTTTTGATTCTCTTATTTATTTTTGTTTATTTGTTAAGAAACTTGTATAGAAAATGTGTTGCTTATCTGGAAGTTGCGATTCTTGCTTAGGCCACATAATAACCTTGTATTTCTTCAGATATTTATGTATATATACCTAAAAGGGAAATATTTTATATCCTTAGACCAGATCTAACTTAATTTGTTTCTTTGATTCTTTCACATAGGCTAAATAATACAACCTCTTGTTGATCATCCAAAAGTCACATTGTTAAGTTGCATTTTCTTTAAAATGATTTTTGCAATGATATACAGAAAAGTTATTTATATATATGTTCACTTTTTTTTTCTCTTTCTCCAAGGAAACCAACATGTCTGACAAAAGTGACTTAAAAGCTGAGCTAGAGCGCAAAAAGCAGCGCTTAGCACAGATAAGAGAAGAGAAGAAACGGAAGGAAGAGGAGAGGAAAAAGAAAGAGGTAAATCCTGGGTGTTGGGGTGTTGTGGGGGAAAAAGGAAAATCACTTGATTCTGAGGGGCTGGTCAAATGGATAAATAGGACTCCCTAAAAGAATCCTTTTATGATATCTGAATAAAATGATTATCTTCCTATTCTGCATGGTAAAGTTGTTGCCCTCTGCTATGTGCTGGTCAGCCATCACCTAAATGGGGGATAACATTTGGTCCAGAGGCTCCAGAGGCCTGCAGACTCCAGGCTTATCACAGACTTGAAGAGAACTCTAAGGATGGTCTCTGATCTTGTTATTGTTAGAAACTTCTTAACCTTTCTGTGCCTCAGTTTCCTATTTTTAATATGAGAACAATAATGCATTTATTTTGTGGGGTTGCACTTAGCAGTATCTAGAATATAGTTAGTATATTCTAACTATAAGTGTTAGTTTTAAGAAAAGGGTTTTTTGAAAAATCTACCAGCAGGAACATTTTAGGAGAAAATTAGAAAACTATGCCAATGGATTTCTATTGTTTCCAAAATGGTATATATATTTTTTATGGTAAATAAGCATCTTAGGTTTGGTAAGGGGGAGGCTGTTCTTCTCTTAGAGAGAAGGTAAATAGGATAGTACAGTACAAAGAATTATTACATGTTAGATCTGGCTGAAATTTCAGAGACTTTCCACTGAGGCCTTTCTTTATGCCAACAAAGCAGCAGAGACCCAGAGGTGAAATGTAGCTTTTCTACTTTCTAGACCTAGAATCTTGGATTCTATAAGCCCAATCCAATGCCTTGTTGTCATATCATGTTTTCTTCCACTATGTGAATCAAACAAATAATTTATTTTTAATTCTCTAATTTGTCGTGGCAGTGTAGGAATAGCCCACATCTTATACAAAAACCAGATACCAAAGATATTTTTGAATAGCTTTCTAAGAAGAAAACTTCGTGTGGTATGATATGCTTTTGTGTATAGAAACCAGAGCTGCTTCCCTATGCAGTTCTTCTGTAAGGAAAAAGAAAACTTATTTTGATGCCTTACAATCTAAATAAGTGTTGTTTCATACTACAAGGCTGAGAGACCAAGGTAATAGATTTACAACAATTATTATTTTCCAACAAAATAAAAGATGATTGCAGTTGCATTTTAGCCTTCTGGCATCTCTCATCTCTCCATACCATTACGTGTTGATTGATGTGATCATTTATTTGTCCTTGACATCACACATAATGTTTTTTCCCTTTGAGATCTTTGCTGTTACATACTCAGTCTTTGAGTGAAGTAGAGGTGAGAATTGACAAGGAATGGCTATTCATTTCCATGCAAAGTCAAAAAAAGCATTAAGTTATTATATTTCCTTTCCCTCAAATGTCAACACTTACTGTAGTTTTAAAGCACCTGCTATCCTTTACTAATAACCAGTTTCCTTTTAAACTGACATTCTAATATCCAACTTGAATGTCATAAAATTACCACTAAATGTGATGTGATATGGGAAATTTGGTTCCAAATTATGCTGTCTGCTTCATCTTTTTCATTTTACACATTTTGGGGAAATTACAGGCAAACTAGACTGATGGAAGCAGTCTCCCCTTTTGATTCTACAACCAAGCACTTTTGCCTGGTGAGGATTTAGCTGGTTTCAAAGCAAGAAGAGCCCTGGGAGGTTGGAGGCTGCAGGTAGTGGAGGGTGTGGAACACCTGGACTCTAGACATTCCTGGTTGTTGCCTTGTTCTGGAATTGACATCATATGAAGTTCTAGTTTCCTCATTTCTAAACTGACTTGGTGATTGAAGCTTGTGATAACTGAACTGTGCTCTACAGAGTCAGATGGCAATACAGAGTCCGAGTCTTCCATCCTCAAAGTTTCTGATTTGAGTGATCTGAAGCAGGGTCAGATTTTGGGATCCGTTGGACCACATCATCTGTAGTGTCTCTCCTGGCTTGAAATCTTTTCCCTTCACACCCATCTCCCCTCAAAGAGGTCTTTCCTTGATTCTGTCCATGCACTCTCTGCAACTGTGCTGACTTGGTTTGTTCTGAGCAGCCAAGGCTGTAAGACAGAAGACATAAACACAGTGATTATGCACAGGGGCTTTTGAGTTGAACATGGCTGGGAAACCTGGATCTGCCCTTCACAGAATGGCCCTGAGTGGGTATGGGTCCTCTCTAAACCTGTTTCCTCTTCTGTAAAATGGAGAAAGGAATGATGTCTTCCTCACAGATTCAAGAGGATAATAGAAGATCCCAGAGCAGTAAAAGACAGCTGTCATTCTGCTTCTGAGATCAGCTATCAGAGTAGATGAATGGGGCTTCATAGAATGGTCACATACATTTTTAGGATCTCTGCTGGTGAGGCCATTTTATAAAAATGCCCCATTGTTGGAAGGGTCTTAAAATTCAAGGCCCCCAGTTTCATGGGGTTGGAGCATTTTGTGGCTGAAAGGAATCTGGAAGTCATCTATTCTGATCCTTTCTCACATGGGGAAGCTGGGCTTCAGAGGTCTAAGCCTTAGAGCCAGGCCCCCTTTATCTCCAATCACGTGAAGGAGTCTGGAGTTAAAAGGGGGCTACCTCTAAGGCTCATACAGCCAGTTTCCCAGATCAGAAACCTGAAGTCACCCTTTCACCACCCCCTACCCCAATTCGCAGTGATCATCAGGTCTGGACAGGCATAGCAGGACTCTCTTTTTGCCTCCATTTTTTTTCTCCCTAAAATCCACATTCCAGTCAGATGCAGCTGCTTACATATACCCTGATGGACTACATTCTTTCTTGTCAGAGAGCTTAAGATGTTCTCTTTCCTCTGCTTTCACTGATCTCCTACTTCTTCCTATCATCCTTTGCCTGGCTGTTAACTTTACCTGGCTGTCCTTCACCTGGCTGTTAACTGCATGTCTTTCCGTTCTCATCTCAAATGTCACTTTCCCAGAAAGCTGCCTCTGATACCTTTACCCATAACTAGGTTAGTTCTGCATCCTATCTTGACATTATCAAACCGTTTAGTACAAGATGTTATATTTTCCCCTTCACTTGTCTTTTTCTCTTAAGAGATTGCAAGCTTTCAAGGTCAGGGCTATATGCTTTTGTTGTTGTTGTTGTTGTTTGTTTTTTAATCATTGAGTCAATGTCAAATATATTGGACATATGGTAGGCATTCAAAAAGGAGTTATAGAATGAATGAATGAGTGAATAAATGAACATATGAACTAGTCAGGGCAGGTTTGAGAGGCACGTCCCAGACATCCTTTCCAAGCATCTGGTGTTCTATTCTGCAAATTTCTTTGGAAACTTCTGATCCTGAATCCATGGGATATCGACTGGCCACTGTCACTGACTCCCGAGTTTAAGATTTTCTAGTTTTGTGTTGTTTATAGAGAATCAGAAATAGCTTTAAATAGTCTTGATTTTTATAAACTTTCTTTAGGCTTATATTTTCAATAAAACAAATAAATTTAACATTAAAAAGAAAAGAAATGCTCTTTAATACTAAACTAAGTGCCCTTTTTTTGCCATGAATATAAAAACTAGTGTGAATTAGGACCACCCAAGTTGATTATCTCCACAGAATTCAGAAAACTGTGTCCATATTGTGTAAAAATTACCACCCTTTGCTCTTTTGGATGTCAACTGCTTTCTTGGCTGTGATATTATGGATGAAATCTGATTTTAAAATAAATATAGTGGCCACCATTTAAGACACTGGCCCAATTTAATGAAAAATTGGCTTTAATGCAATGAGGTGAGCTCAGTGGGGGCCACCCTGAAGTTTCATTCTGTCCTTGGCTTCCTGCCGAATTGCTGCAAGGTAGAATGGCCAGGGGTTTCCTGGCCTGTCCTCACATGTTTCTCTAATAAATGTGGAAATGTCTTTAGGAAAGTGATTGACAATTCTCAGCTGACAAATTTTTCTTTCTTCGATTATCCTCTCTGGGTTTCAGCTGTGATTACTCTCCACCAACAGAAATATAACTTGCTGAGAAAGGCACCTTGAAGATTTTTAATTACTAATACTGCAAAATCACTCCTTGTTGAATCATTAAAACATAGTAGGATTCTGTAGTAGATACAGATCCTCACTCTGCAACATCTTTTTTCTCATCTTAGTTCTATCTTTGCCTCTGTTGTATACATAAACTTTGGGACTTGTTTCAGTAGTTTAAATGTTAAAATTGGAAAAGAACATGAACTTTGATATCTTCACTGATAAGAGATTAAACTGCCATTTCATAATTTTGGGTTATGCAGAGTGTCTGACTCTAAGACTCTTATAAGCCCTTATTGGCTTTCAAATGGTAGTTTTCCCTCTAATGACAGATAGACTTCAAAAATATGAGTGATTTAGCTCAAAGTTAATAATAACAGAATTGTTGAGCACAGAGACATATGCAAAGATGCACTTAGTTTATAATCAGTGTGTAGGTTACCCTCTGGGAGTAAGTCAAAAGTTGCATAAACTCTTTCTGCTTATAGATACTACAGTGTAGCTAATGCTTCACTTGCTTTGAAAGGTATTCTACATGCCCAAAGAAAGTAATGTACTTGTTAGCATACCCAGCTTTCCTTGGGGAAGAAGGTATGTCTCATAATGAAATGTTTTTTGACAGGCTTTAAGACAGCCTCACTTCTGTAAGCTTACAAAGCTTTGTTGTGAGGTAGTTACACATCAACGTGATGTTATCATGTTTCAGATGTGGGGCAAATAACTTATCTTAAGTAATAACTGTATTATGAAAGAGAGAAGAGACTTGGAATTTTTAAATTTCCCCTAGAATCCCACCACAGATCTTGTTTACCTGCATTTTAATTTGTCACTGATCTGTAAAAACACCAACTGGGCATAGGATCTGACATTAAGAGGCCAGTATGAAAAACATAATGTGTTTTTAGACAGAATTTGTGAAAGGAATTTCTTGTAAATGTTTTGTTTTACTATATTTTCTACATGATAATTTTCTTCTTCCAGTTAGTATATATAATGGAATGCTGTGAAAATTAGAATAAAGTACCAAGACATATCAATATTGATCACATGCCTTAATACAGATTTTAGCCCAGTTTATTTTAAACCATGGCAAACTTGTCTTAGCAATACAAATAGTGTGTTTTATAGTTAAAAATTTTCATAAATAGTTTCACTTTTCAGCAAGATCCCAACAATACCTGGTTTGCACAATCCCAAACATGGGGCCTGAATATTACAAACACACAGTCATCAATAACTGATATCCCAGAAGGGACAAGGAAGTCTAAAAAAAGAGACAGAATTTTTTTTTATATTATATCCCCAGCCAGAAATACTTTGCCTTGATGTTTTCTCTTCCAAAACCTGTGAGAGAAACTTTCATCCCACGTGATAGAAGCAGGAAAAAGCCTTCAGCCAAAAGAGAAAGTACTGGGCCAGTAATTATTAAATGGGGCAATTATGGTGTTTATTCATCCTTTATACATGTGATTATATCTATTTAGGGCTTTCACCTTGTCTTCACTGCCATGCATTTATCATTTTTAGTTTCAGCCAGGAAAAGCATACATTTAGTTATGTTATTAACTTTTCTTACTGACGTCTACTTCTAGGCTGATATGCAGCAGAAGAAAGAACCCGTTCAGGACGACTCTGATCTGGATCGCAAACGACGAGAGACAGAGGCTTTGCTGCAAAGCATTGGTATCTCACCGGAGCCGCCTCTAGGTACTTAAAAGTGCTTCCTGTTACTATTCCTCAAAATCAACTTGCGTGGGATATACCATGTCCAGTGTTTACTATTCTTTTAAGTCTTTAGTTTTTTTTAATTTTTATTTTTAAAGACATTCTGTGGCTTATGGTTCAGGTTGCATGTGTTTTTGGAATTGAGGGGGCTGGAAGGAGATGGGAGGAAAGTTGTAGAATTGTCAGTAGTTTGGGGCTTACTGACTGATTAGATGGTCAACCTTCTCCACCGTGTTACTAGTAGATTATTTTATACTTGTTAAATGAGTTGCCACTTGGTAAATATAAGAAATCTTGGAATGTCTTATTAAATTGTTCCTCATTTTCATTGCTGAGTTCCAGTGTCTCTTTGCCAATCTAAATACTGTGGATCTGGGTTATGAATTTCATAACTACCACAGGCATAGAGTTAGTCTATGATGAAAATAGAAGGCACAGTGAGAATTTGAAGGAAAACAAAATGGTGGCAGATTAGCAGCCGATTAACAAGTTTAAATTAATTTGACTTTATTGTATTTTGATTTGATTACTAATTGGCATTTTCACTACAATACTCCTCCTCTAATTCGTTCATTCCTAGTTGGTTGTCTGTGACCTCATTTTATCACTAAAGCTTGGATATTGAATTATTGGTTTTCTTTGTGTTGAAGGTAACTTGTGCATATTTTGTTTATTCTGTCACTTACCTATGTATCTCTCATGTAATAGTTTTATTTTTCTTTTATCCTTTTGTTTTCCATACATTTAAGATTAATCCTAGGGTGTCTATAAAACTACATTATATCCAATATAGTTAAAAACCCTTTTGGAAGAATACATAAAAATAAATACAGTATTCAGATCTTTTGTTTAGAATACTTTCTTCTGAAGTTAATTCCATAATTTACTTTTATATTAAAATAAATTATCATTTATTTCCATAGTTAGTTAAACTAAGAATATAAATTATCCCATGTAGAACAAAATGGCAAATGTTTATATCAATGTGAATAAGAAAAAGAACAATATATAATAAGCTTAAAAATTATTAAGTATTGCTGGATGTAATTTAATACACACAAAACTAAAACACTATTAAAAATCATTTTATACTCAATCTCAATTTGTAATAGGTAAAAATAGTATGTTCAACAATGCTATAATAAGCCCCAATAAGATTAGATTCTTTGGTTTAATTTCTTCATGTTGTGGAAGATGTAACCTAGGGGACGTTATATTTGACTGATGGACCTTCTTTTCTACTTAGGAGCTGATACACATTTTTTTCTACTTAGTTGACATCTGATATGAGTTAGACACATTGCAATCAATTATATTTGTGCCTCAAAATAGCCTTTGAAATTATGTTGCAATGTGAACACTGGTTAAATACAATAATAGTATGTCCTAGTCTCCCCTACCCTACATAAAGCCAGTAATTAAACTTTAAGAACAAAACAGATTAACATCTCTAAACCATGACCAACTTTTGAAGTATCCTTGCATTACTGCCAACGGACTCTGGCAAGGGCCCTGTTTTCATTTTTCAGCCATCTCTTCGACTTACCCTCTGAGCTTACTCAGAGGGTAAGTAATCAGTGAATTAATTGTGGGACCACATGAAAATTCCTAGCTTCTCGACAGATCTGCCATTGTGTTATAGGATTTGGGTAAAACAGTTAAGCCCTTTACCCTATTAAGTAAATAAAAGGAAATTGCACATGATTGAAACCAAATGGGAATCTACATTTACGTACTGAAATTTCTTTCTATCCATATGGCTTCTCTGGCATATGTGATATTGAGAACCCGTTGAATTGCCTGGCCTGGAGCCATCTTGGCTATTTGGTGCAGCTTCTATCTGAAGGACATTTGGCTTGTATCTGAAGGAAGGGGGAAAAAATTGCATTGGCTTTAGCTTTTTTCTTTTATTATGCCTGCTCTCAGATTTTCAGCTTGTGCCGACCTTGATCTTTGAACTTGTCTCCTGTCTTCAGAGTGGCAGCTTACTTCTGTGCACATGGCAGGGTCTTCTAGAGCTGCTGGAGGCAAGGCAAAACAAGTCCCAAAGACAGTAAACAGTACAATGGGATGCAACTATTAATTAAATGTAAAAATAAAGCAGCCTGGCATTTTTCTTTGTTTTGAAAGAGACTTTTTAATTACCAGTTTCAACATTTACCCTTTCTCTATCTGTCACTTAGGCTCTCATGGCAAACAGCTTATATTCCACAGAGTACATTTCTCTCTCAATGCAGACATACAACAGATTTTTCTGACTGTCCTTGACCATTTAAAATTATTCAGAATCACTTATTTAATAACCTTTTAAAGTTTTATAGACACCTTGTTTTATTTTTAATAGGTCACATCTATACTAACAAAATAATGTGAAGAATCAGAATTATCTGGATGGTTCATGTTAGAGAGATATTTGACTTGAATTATCTGGATAGCTATTTTGATGCTTCATTTTACTTTGTTAGGGTGGACATGGCCTCAGAATCCCTAGGTTAATTCTGTCTAAATCATTTCAAATTTTAATTTCCAAAATACAAAAAATTCACTGGACTTTTTTCCTTTTCTTTCCTTTTTTTTTTTTTTCTTTATCCCATCTCAATGTCTCCTGGCCATACAACCACTTTAATTTGGGCCCATTTGTTTTGATTTGTCTGACACTGCTCTTCACCAGTGCAGCCGCTGCATTTTTTAACATGGGATACCTGTTATTTTCATTATTTAGTCCCAACCCCTATGTCTCCCTCCTCGAAATCAGTGAGCACTCCCAGTGAAGCTGGAAGCCAAGACTCAGGCGATCTGGGGCCATTAACAAGGTAAGAATTGTCCCTTTAAAAGGCCATGATGGGTGTCAATTAAAAAAAAAAAAAAACAGCAACAACACCACTGTTAGAATACTGTGAAATGTGCATGTATCTGCATGTGTACTTGGACATCTTATGTTTAAATTTATGGTGGCTTGCTATTTTTAGTGGAATAGCAATGATCTTGAACACTAGAAATGATCAACATATATCATCCTTCTTTGAGTGGGCTAATTTAGCACCATGTGTCTTGCTTAACAAACACACACATATCCATTAGCTTAGGCTTAAAAAAGGCAGGGAGAAGCCTTTTCATTATTTAGTAGATAATTGAATATATATCCAGCTTCTTATTATCCTACTTTGGTTTTGGTTTCCATGAAAGTCTTTGTGAATAGAATATTGAGATGTTCTAATTCTAAATTTAATTTTTCAAGTGAGTTATTTGCTTAGTAAAGTTGACTAATTTGAAAACTCAGTCACCTAAGTATTTTTATTGTATTATTATTGGTAGTAGTAGTATCAGGATTGGCTGCTTCTGTTTAGTGAGTTCATTGCCAAATTTGTATTACACTATGTAGACTCACAGATTATGTAACTTCTGAAAGTAGATCTAGACATTCTGTAATTTAATCACTGAAGAGGTATCCAAAAGGTAAAGATGTAAAAAGAAGAAAGGAGAAGTTTCATAAATGTAGATGGAGTCATGGTAAATCTCCGAATCCAGCTGTCTTCACCAGTGTTCCCACATGCCGGGGTCCACAGGCAGGAATTTATGTGAGTATGGCAACTGCACCCAATTCTTAAAGGCCAGATGGCCCCCTCATAGCTCAAGCTGGTTGAGCTCACATGATATGATGGACCCAATTTTTCCGCATTTTCCAGTTTTTCTTGAGAAGCTACAAATTCAGATATTCAGGTGATAATCTCCTGAATGTTAAATGTTAATGACTTTTGTTCCAAGTAGTTATGGGCCAGATTTGGCCTGTGGCAATTTATGAACTCTAGCTTTGACTCTTAATTTAAAAAAATCATAAAATGCTTTAATCAAGTTTTAAATAAAAGAAGAAACAACCATCTACAGCACTGCTGTTCTAAGAAGTCAGCCTTTTGGCTTGTCTGTGTACCTTTCCAGTCCTTGTCTGTGTGCATTTCTTGCCTCCGTATGTATTACTGGGGCAAAGATATAAAATTTTGCATTTTTCTCTTTTCACCTAAGGCATTAGCATAAGCATTTTCTTCTGAAAGTGTACTGTTTCCACACAGGCATAGTTAATTTGGTAGCTGAAGATCTGGACATGAAGATAATCTAGCGTTGATCTGAGCTGTAGGGTTTTTTTGCTTTTGAAACCAACATATAAGACTGGAATTATGTTACCTATTTCTGCCTGTTGGTGTCCTTCAGACTTGAATATTTTGTTTTCGTAGGCCCTTTGGAAACCAGTGGACACTGCTTTCAATTAAAAAAAAAGTAGAGGTTTTTGAGGGCATAAAGCTGGTTTATTTTAGCAAATCGCTTTTGTGATTTGGGGCAGCACATGTCTTCTCTCATCTTTTGCTTTGAACACTTCAAAAGGTCTTTGGCAGGAGGAAGTAATAGCAACACAGTTGTGTAAGATCTAACATTTATTCAAGAGCTGGCACAATATAATCACATTTCTTGGGGGGGGTCCATTGGCCTATCATTAAGTTAATGTATTTGACCATTTCTGTACCATGATGGTGCGTGTCATTACTGCTTAGCTTCAAGGGTGCAGTTGGCAGCATTCAATTCTATTACTGACTTCACAGTTGAGGAGCCCTTTGGAAAACTTTCTAAAGAAAGCTGACCTATGCTGTTAGTACTCTGGGGACAACAGCAATTATTTCTTCTCAGAGAATATTACTCTTTATTTCTTTCTCCTTCTTAGGTGATTTTTTTTAACTTTATGAATCACTTTGGAAGAGGTGCAGCTTACTCCTACCCAACACAATAGTAACTTCAATTCTTTATAGGAAAGTTCTTGCAAGACTGAGTAACTAGAAGTCAATTAGTAAACCTCCTGCAAAGTGCAGGTTTCATAGAAATGCAAGAAAATTTGCATTGAAAAATGCTAGTTTTCAGAAAAACTGAGCACAAAGTTTGCTTGAGGAGAACACATTAAGAATGCCTTAGTAAATTCTGCCCTTGTTTTGAACTTAGGAAAATTCCACACAAATTTATGTTTTTTTCTTTAATAAAATAAATATGAAGTTAAATTGCAGGAGAATGTTATATTTCAGTTTTTTTAAATTCCACTTTGAATGTCTTTTTATGTAGAAGACACATCTTTGAAAACAATTTATATTAACTTTAACACTTCATAAAACAGGAGACTGGGAAAAGAGTTCAGTTATTCTTAAGAATATAACTCTATGCTCATAAATTTGCCTGTTTATGTGGAATTTGAACTCTTCAAAAAATGGTAAATCTTTCAGAAGATAACAAGAATTAAATTAACACATCTGGCCGTAGCTAAAGGCACATATAAATTATCTCATTCATTTGCCAAAATTTCAAACCAAAGCTAAAATTTTCTTTAGAAAGCCAAAATTAGCAAACATTTCTTATAATCTTTGTAACTAGTTAATCTGCAAATTGGCCTACTCAATGTACTTTATTATAGAGAAGAAGTAAAAATAGTGCTTTAACAAAAATCCCTCTTATTGATTTTTTTTTTTTTTAATTTTAAAGAGACCGTCTTGCTCCATTGCCCAGGCTGGAGTACAGTGGTGCAATTATAGCTCACTGCAACCTCAAACTCCTGGGCTCAAGCAATCCTCCTGCCTCGGCCTCCTGAGTAGCTGGGACTACAGCCATGCACCACCATGCACAGCTAATTTTTATTTTTACTTTTTGTAGAGATGGAGTCTCACTATGTTGTCCAGGCTGGTCTGGAACTCCTGGCCTTAAGCAATCCTTTTGCCTTGGCCTCCCAAAGTGCTGGGATTATAGGCGTGAGCCACTGCACTCAGCCACCTCTTACTGATTTTTAAGAGCAGTTGAGAAAATTTTAAAAAATGGGTAGAGAGTAGAAATATGTAAGTTTTCAGTTATACTAATGATTTAATTTTTTAAATTTCACTTAAAGTGTTACCATTTGTTTTGCAATTTATGCTTCCATTGTTATATCCCATTTCTCATTTACAACTTATACTTTTGGTTTTATCTTCTTTCTCCTGATCGGTTTTGGTAGAATCAATTAATCATTGCTCAGTTAATTATACTGGCAAGCAACACGCTCTTGGATTTTAAGAGCTTGTTGAAAAGGTTAGTTTGAAGGGTTAGTTTTACTTATAAACATAAATGAAAAATCTTTGATATACTGTATGCAACTGGAATCCAACATATTAAGAGGATACTATGCTATGGTTAATTAGTATTGTTTCAAAAATGCAAGGTTATTTTAGTATAGGAAAATGTCTTACCATATAATTTAGCATACAAAAAGGTCAAAGAAGGAAAAATAATCATTGCAATATGTACTTAAATTATACTTAAGAAATTTAAACACTTATTCCTATATTTTAAAATGTAGCAAACTAGGAATAGAAAATATTTTCTCAATATGGTAAAGAATATTTGTCTGAAACAGCTTACGCTTTTTATACATAAGAGTGAAGCATTAGCACTTTATAGTCCTGAAGAACGGCTTTTGTTTAGTTGAACATGTCTCTCATCCTCAGAAAGTGGTGAATTCCTTGAAAGTAGGGACTAAGTGATACTCATGTGGTAGGTATTTGATAAATGTTTGCTGAGTGAGGTGTGGTAGCTCAGAACTGTAATACCAGCTACTTGGGAGGCTGAGGCAGGAGGATTGTTTGAGGCTAGGAGTTCAAGACCAGCCTGGGCAACATAACATCCAAGATTAAAAAAAAAAAAAAAAGTTTGTAGAATGAACTATATAATTCTGCTTTTTACCAATGAGGACACTGAGATGCGCAGAGAGAATAAGTAATTTTCTCAAGTTCATACAGAGTGTTGTTTTGCTACAGTGCTAGGTTTTTACCTAGGCAGGTTGATTCAAGTTTCCACAATGTATATCTCTATGCTACATAATCTCTAACAGTAGTTGATATGAGTGATACACAACCTACCCCATAAGGTTATTGTGAGGATTATACAAAGTAATGCTCTATAAAGTACTCAGAAAGGAGTCTGGTGTATACTAACTATATGTGAGTTTTAGCAATTATTATAATTTTTTCATATTTTAATTTAGCCATTTTTCCTATGGGAAAAAATCTTTTTAGATCCTCTCATAGAACATGTTGGTGTCATTTTCAATTTTAGTAAGCATTGCCTGTATCTTTATCCACGTAATTACATAAAATTATTAAACATGACAAGGCAAAGGACAGATTGTAATCCATGCCCCTACAGACCACATTCTGGGTTGCCCACTCCTTACTCACTAACCTTCAGATAGCAACCAGAAGTGAATCGATCTAAGTGAAAATCATTCAGCCAACATTTATTCTTCTCATTCACATGGATGGCTCACAAGGGACTTTGCACTAGGACTTTTCTCATGTTTAGTTGTAATTCCTTAGGGTTCGCAATGACAGAGCTGAACTAGAAGGTGTACTGGCCTGCAAAAATATAGGAAAGTGTATTGACTTCATAAAGTTCAGCTGGACACCACAGTGTAGGCTACAACCTGTCCCAAATGGAAGGAAATGTTGAAAATGTTTTCAAAGTTAAAACATCTCTCAACGTGATAACATACTGTGCAATATCCTGTCACAATAATAACACCCATTGCATAACATCCTTAACAAAATAGTCCGAAGGGGAGATTTCTGATGTTTGTCTTTGGTGAGAAGTGTCATGGAGGGTAGTAATAGAATTAATTTTTGTCTTTTTTTTTTTTTTGACCATCTTTGGTCTTAACACCATCATTAAGTTCTACTTTCCAATCAATCAAGACATTTAAGCCCTCCTCCAACATTTTATTTTTTAAATCTTTTTTTTTTTTAAAGACAAAGTCTCTCTGTCACCCAGGCAGCAGTGGTGGCACAATCTTAGCTCAATGAAGCCTCGAATTCCCGGGATCAAGCTATTCTCCCACTTCAGCTTCCTGCATAGCTAGGAGTACAGTTGCATACCACCACACCCAGCTGATTTAATTTTTTTTTTTTTTTTTTTTTGTAGAGACGAAGCATTGCTATATTCCCCAGGCTGGTCTTGAACTTCTGGCCTCAAATGATTCTCCTCCCTCTTCATCCCAAAGTGGTGGGATCCTCCTGCCTCTCCCTCCCAAAGTGCTGAGATTACAGGCAGGACCCATTGTGCCCAGCCTAAAAATCTCTTACTATTATAGAAACAACACCTGTGTATTTTATACAACTAGAAAATATAAATGAGCAAAAATAACAAAATAAAAACATCATGTTTCCACCACCAGAGTAGCACTCTTAGCACCTTAGTGCTTATTCTTTTATATTATATGTATGTCATCATATATAATGATAAATGACATCTTACTGTGAAAACTGTTGAACCTGCTTTTTCAATCAAGTGTATTTTTATATTTCAATGTATTTTCACCTTATCTAGTATCTACACTATCTTCAAATTTCCCCAATTGGCCCCAATAAAATCCTGTAGTATTTAAAACTGATGCCTGTGCTCACAATTAGCAGCATTTCTTAACCCAAAACACTGATATTCGTAGATTGTTCTCTAGGGAGGTGAGGCCCCTCTCAAGGGTACCACAAATGCAGCAGGTGGAGAAATGTCTTCTGAAGCACATCACAGGAGAATGATGATACAAAGGGAATGGATTAAAAGTCTCTTAGGCTTTCAGCTTCATGTGAATTTCAGATTAGAATTCAGGGACAAAGGGACAGATTTCTTCAATGTTCTCTCTTCAGCTTGGATACTGGGCCTCCATATAGTTACTATTCAGTTTCTTATTGACAGAAAGCTTTGGTTAAATTTAGATACTTGTTTTTGGGCTACAATAATTCGTTGTGGGCAACTTGTCCTGTCTGCATGTAGTTACTACTTTTTTTTTAGTGACTTCAGGAAAGAAAAATGTGTTCTGGGGCCACATGGACATAATACTCAAAGGAAATCCTTAGGACCTTCACCTTTATCCACAGTCAGATTCTGCAGGATTCTTTGGAACTATGTAGGCCTCAAAGGACTTGACCCATTTGGGTGAAAGCATCATCATCTTCTAAGATGCTCTGATAAATCAGAGGCTAAAGGGAAGTCATAAAGGAAGTATTAGTAAAGGTGAAAAGTGTAATAAATAATACAAGATTATGGGGGAAATTTAATAAGACTATTAAAATTTTGCTTATACAAAAAAATTTTAAAGTATCATTATATAAAGAGAGATTGACAGGATGCTACCAGCCAATTCGACTTTGGGGAGACTGAAGTCGCTAATTCAAGGTTGGTTAAAAGTCAGTCTCTTTGTAAATTAAAATAAGATTTACACTATAGGGTTTTCTCTTTATGCAGCACAATAAGTTCAAAATTTTTAATATCATTGTCTTCAGGCAAAGTGTGCTCTATGTACCCATATGGTTATAGTAACACAGTAAGCATCTATTTTAGGAAAGGGTAGCTGAGCTTTCTTCTAGAGAAACTGCTTGCTTGACAGCAGGACTTTTGTGTAAGATTTTGGGAAAACATGCTCTTGTTCTATGATGGGAAGTCCTACATTTCTTATTGAATCCAGCTCAGATGGACTTCCCATGTGGCTTAGTGTGGCTCGCTCTGGAGCTCCATATTAGGGCTCAGGTGTTAGCCAACAGATGGAAAATTCTCCCACCATAAATTAAGAAAAATGCTTTTTAAAAAGAGCCTGATATAAGTATGTATTTCACTGTTCCACATTTATTTCTGACATCAGAAAATCTTTATCATCATTGCCAGTCCTAAGTAAGGAAAAAATTGAGGCCAGGAAATAAAACATTAACTCATTATTTGAATACCATCCTTTCTTAATTAACATCACTTTAATGAATGTGACAGATGAGTGATATGATGGATTTTAAAATGTCCTTATTATTTCATGTATTACTTTTGGAAACGGCATTTTAAAAATTAGATATTTAGCGATGGCATTGACTAGATATTTTCTGTTTGGCACTATGCTTACATAATCCCAAACTGTTTGCACTGGCTGATTAATCACTAGTGATTTGTTTGACAGAGAAGACATGTGGAACAAGAGCTCAGAGAAACTGTGCGACTCAGGAAATCTCTGTATTCTGTCCTTGAGCTCTCTCTCCATCTTAGAGAGAAAAGGAAGAACATGAAAATTTGAGTTCCAGTGCAGTTGCTTCAGGGACTAATTAAAGTTACTAAATTCACTTGGTAGAGAAGATGGCTGGACCGCTTTTGTTTTTCACCACAAATCAGCAATATGTTGAGCATTTTAAAAATAATAATATTCATAGAGACAGGGTCTCGCTATGTTACCCAGGCTGGTCTTGAACTCCTGGTCTCAAGTGATCCTCCTGCCTCGGCCTCCCAAAGCTCTGGGATTACCGGCATGGGCCATCATGGCCGGCCAGTGGTCAGCATTTTTATTAGATAAGATATGCTTTCCTTCTTCAGTATGGAAGTGAGTCTGAAAACTCTCCTGCGGCCATGTAGTGACATCACGCTGAGTAAGACTGAGTTTTCCATAAATGCTTTGATGGATATTAAGGGATTTAGGGAGACATGCCCTGATTTATTATTTCATTTTTTAATAAAAACGTAAAAACTGTTTCTTTTGGAATCAACTTGCCCTCACACGTCACACCCATCTACAGAAAAGCCAGGTAAAGAATATTCATTTGTTCATTCATTCATCAAGTCATTCAGTAAACAATTGAGAATTTATTGTCTATCAGATACTATACTAGACTTTCAAGGAATATAAATATTCTTCTTACTTCTAAAGAGCAAGTAAATTGACACATTTAATTTGAATCTAAGGAAATGTTGCTGTGTAGTTACAGCTCTCAAATATGCATACTCAGAGAAGAGCTCAATGGTAATGAGGACTTTGGGGTTATTTTGCAGAAGATATATGGACGTCTGTGTGATTGCCTGGGGTTAGAGTAGAAAGGTGAGGGGAGAAGATAGAATCCTGGTTGGAGAATGCCTGTCTTTATTGGAATGGAAAGAGCAAGGGTACTGCCAAAAACACAGTGAGAGAGGGAGGAAAAGAAATAAGATTTTCAGGGCCAAGAAAACTAAAAGAAAGACTATGCCAAGAAGGAGCCAATAGTGACCAAAATCAGAGACAGCAAAGATAAGGAACAAGAACCGACCATGGGATTTGATGATTTGGAGGTGGTTGTCGTCATCATTATAATCATCATTATCATTTTTTGTTATTATTATTATTATTATTGACGCTGTTTTATTTTCATAGGCTGAGGTCCTGGGAGCAAAACTAGTCCAGGAGTAATTCTATTTTTTATGTTCCTGCCATATATTGGCATATTACTTCCCAAAGAACTTTACTAATTTAAATGCTACCAACAGTGTATGAGACTGCCTTAGCCACATTGAGTGTTAGCATTATAAATGAGAAATTTGTTAACTACTGCCTTCCAAATATTTATTGAACATCTCTTTCTTATAGCCAAAGACTAGAAAAGGTAAGAACAAAAACACTCTTTAGGAAATAATTCTAAGGTTTTCTGCTCTGAGGTCTAATAAGATGGAAAGAAGAATGGAAACCACCAACTTGTTGTTGGTAAAAGCTGAATGGGAAGAAATTGACCACTCATCAGAGTGCAAGGTATATGCAACACAGACATTATGTCTTTCACTCCTAAGTTACACTTTCAACAGATGGCCAAGGATATTTTAAAATTTTCACTTCTTTCTGTCTCATAAACTGAAACTGAGCAAATAAAATTGAGCCAATGAAAGGGGAATTTTATAAGAAATTAAAAAGTAATGAATTGGTACAAGGTTTAAAATATGAAATGAAATTCTGCTTGTCTCTTAGTTGGTTACGGCTAGTTTGAAGAATTTTGATGTTTGCCTATTCTTTTTTAAAAATATTGAAAAACAAATTGACCCACAAATTATAAATTAACTACTACATGGTAGGCATTTTTGTATAAGGTGCCAGAGGCTACAATGTTTTTGATATGTTCAAGGTTAAATAAGTGAGTATTTTCCATGTTGGGAAGCTTCTGTATTTTGAAATGAAGTTAGGAAATGTGACCTTAATTGGCATGTCCAAAACAGCCAATCCAACCCTGGGACCATAGAACCGTAACAGTGCCTGTTGGTCCAGAGTAGGTACAGAATTATTGGGTTACTTAGCTTCTGAACACATAATAGGGCTCCTATGAAACAGAGATCAGAGATCCCACCTAGACAGAACCTCAGAAAGTTAGCCTAAGAAATCAATTGAAACTAATCAGAGCAGCCAAATGCAACTCATAAAAATAAGCAAACAAACAACACCAGGATGGTTCCCCAGCGGGGAATACTGACGGAAATTTAACTGACATAGTTAAAGAAAGATTGTATCAAACAACAAAGGCTAGGTTGGTCATCCCAGGAATTCCAGAAAGGGGAGACTTGGGTAGCAGTGAGGATGATGTCTGGTCTTGGGGAAAGATAAGGTCATGGTGGGGGAGGGCAGGGGAAGCTGTCGTAGTTAAACATTCAGCATCACCTACTCTAGTCCCAAAGATACTGCTGGACATCTGGCTTCCCAGGAAGCTGGGCTTCAAGGAGAGAAGACTTTGTTAGGCTTATATATTTGTCTGCCTGGTTATTATTGTTCTCACAACAAATTGCTAAGTTGGCATCTAAAATATAGCAGTCTTATAAGACCTAGTGGACTACCTCAGCCACCTAAGTCCAATAAACTAAGCACTGAGGAAAATGAATTTAGGCCCAAATCCTATCCCCTCCTCCAAGACCAGGTCAAATGGAATCTCTAATCTTTTCAGTGGAATTGTGTCTCCCTGCTGTGACTTCCAAAGGATGATGAAACTGCAGTCCAATGCCTGGCTGGCTGGCACGGAGCAAACACTAAGTGAAGGGAAATTATAACAATCACCATTCTTAATCTGTCTTTCCTATGGCATTTATTAATATTTTCAGCTCATATTTATTCAAACTTTAAACTGTGCCAGTCTCTGAGCAAGTGATGAGAGCTACTTTCTTCCTTGTAGATGTTATCGGTATATTATTAGGCATAAATATTCATATGTCTCATTTCTTTTACCAAAATGGAAAAGTCTTAAGTGCAAGTTCCATGTCCCTCAGCATACATGTGGTACTGCCGGGTAGGGGAAGCTGTCATAGTTAAACATTCAGCATCACCTACTCTAGTCCCAAAGATACTGCTGGACATCTGGCTTCCCAGGAAGCGGGGCTTCAAGGAGAGAAGACTTTGTCAGGTTTACATATTTGTCTGCCTGGTTATTATTGTTCTCACAACAAATTGTTAAGTTGGCATCTAAAATATAACAGTCTTATAAGACCTAGTGGACTAACTCAGCCACCTAAGTCCAATAAACTAAGCACTGCGGAAAATGAATTTAGGCCCAAATCCTACCCCTCCTCCAAGACCAGGTCAAATGGAATATGGCAAGTTTTACTTTCAGATTTGTTCTACTAAACTATATATATATATATATATATATATATGTTTTGGTTTTTTGTTTTTTTTTTTTTTTTTGAGGCAGGGTCTTACTGTCACCCAGGCTGGAGTGCAGTGGCATGATCTCAGCTCACTGCAACCTCCACTTCCCAGGCTCAAGCTGTCCTCCCACCTCAGCCTCCTGAGTAGCTGCGACCACAGGCGAGCACCACCATACCCGGCTAATTTCTGTATTTTTTTGTAGATGCAGAGTTTCGTCGTGTCGCCCAGGCTGGTCTTGGAACCCGTGGGCTTCAGCAATCTGCCTGCCTTGGCCTTCCAAAGTGCTGGGCTTACAGGCATGAGTTACCGTGCCAGGCCTATTGGTATAGGTTTTATCTCCTCATAAGAGCTGTAGGTTCCTTGAACATTTTTTCAACCCTCTGTTACAGTATTTTGTATTTTAGGTTCTTAATAGATGGTTTTTGAATAAGTAAATGAATGTTCTTATCAAAATCTTCTCTCCTCTGCATGCATTGATTGAGCCATGCCAGAAATGACTAAAAAATAGAACTAATTATTATAGTAAACAGGGTGATTTCTATATCACCATCATTTTATTTTCAGAGATACAATTACTTGGTAAAATGGCTGGAAAATAAGATCTCTGCCCATTGGTTAAATAAATTATTCTAACTGGAGAAGAGAAAGCTAAAAGGCAGTTGAATAATCATCCTAGATTTTAAAATATCAGGCAGAGAAGAATGTTAAAGGGCCTTAAGGCCTGCACCCTCATTTGCTGGGAACAAAAGGAGATTTGCCTGATGACACACTGAAGCCATATCCAGGACACAGACCTGCAACCCGGGGCCAGGAGTGCTCCTCTCTAAGATACTGCCATCTGCGGGGAAGCTGTCCTGCACGGTTTACACAGAAGGAATTCGGCGAATGTTTAATACATATTTCTAGGCTATCCCTGGAAACACAAACAACTTTTGCCCATTTTGCATATTGGCTTTAAGTTCCTTTCAAAAAATTTGCATATTTGCATATTCCTTGAAGGGAACCACCCCACAGATAATAATGGGAAAAATGAAAAGATAATACAACTGGCACATTTGATAGCATCCTTGGCTTCACCCCTTAGCCCACAGCTTGTTACTGACAATAACTATGGTTTCTGTTACTGAATAACATAGGTGTGCCAGGAGGCAAGGCTGTTGTGGTGTTACATTCCTACCTTGGTTTTTCTGGCCGAGTAAATGCAAACTCCCCAGTACTAATCTGTGGACTTTTTAAGTGGATGATTTGATAGAATCACTATTTATACTTCTTAAGGGTATAGTGAGTTCAGGTGATCTGTCCAATAAGTATCAGAAGAGCCAGACCATCGGGGAGCTGCTGGGAGAAGTGGAAAAGGTCACTAAAAATCAGCCCATCAGAAACCTCAAGGAAAATGGAGGTCAAATAGTTGATCCTACTCCTTGCAAGGAAAGCTTCTTACAATCAGCAAGAGCCAGAGTCTGCTCTTTTGTCTACAGCAGAAGAAATGATCTTAAATTTGACCCCCAGAGATATGTGAACAGCAAATATGAATTACGTTAACATATTCCATTACTTTCACAATTTGAACTGAGATTAAAGAATCAGTGCCCAGAAGCAAGAAGGGCTAATTTTCTTCAGCAGAGAATGAATTCAGAGCAGGGGTTCTCACCCCTGGCTGCACATTAGAATCACCTGGAAAGCTTTAAAAAACTACAGATGCCTGGGTCCCACCCCAGACATTCTGGCTTAATTGGTCTAGGGGTGGCCTGGATCTGATGCCAGGCTTGAGCAAATCAGAAGTTTAGATGCTAATGTATTTGAGCTTCAGTGATGCTTTCTGCATGCTGACTACTGAAAGCAATAGTCTAGCTCTGTCATTCTCCAAAGGTGGTCCCATGATTAACCTTGTAAACATCACCTGGAAACTTGTTAGAACTACAAATTCTAGGGCCCCACTCCAGATTTACTGATCTACTGATCAGAATTTCTAGGGTTGGGGATCAGCTTATTAAAGCTCTCCAGGTCATTCTGATGAACATGAAAGCTTGAGAACCACTTATGTAAGTCAAGTCATTGCTGCTCAAAGTGTGTTCCACAGAGCAGCAGCATCTGTATGTCCTGGAGCGTGTTTGAAATGCAGAGTCTCGGGCCACCCGCACACCTACTAAGTCAGACTGCATTTTAGCAATATTCCCGGGTATCTGTATGTGTATTAAAATTTGAGAAGCACTGGTCTAAGAAACACTCGCCAGTTAGTGTCTCATTGGACTTCAGTTTTAATCTTTCAGAGGTTCTATGTAAAAAGACAAGAGCACAGCCAGAGCATAGAAGGGAAGCTGTGAATCTGTATTCCGCTACTTCTGCAGGAGGGGTTAATATGTGATCTGTCAAATAGGTCGGGCATTGACTCAAAGAAACATTAAGAGTAGATAGAGTGATTGTGGCAGTAGTAAAAGCAGCTGCTGCTTATCATATGGTTGCCATGTGCTTTATAGGTATACCTGCATTTAATCCTTGTAGAAAACCAGCAAAATATTCATTCATTCAACAAATATCGTATTATATAAGCACATATGCGCGATACAGTTCTAGGCATATCCCTATATTCTAGAGATGTAGCCACCCCTGCCATTATGAAGCTTAACTCCAAAGTCAGACAACAAACAAAAATAAATAAGCTGATATACAAGAAAATCATAGGTAAAGATGAGTGCTATGAAGGAAATAAAGCAGGGGAAAGGAAGGAAATGAAGAGTGATAAGGAAGTGCTACCTGAGATCAGGTGGTGAAGCAGGGGAGCCTCTTTGAGGAGGTAACATTTAAGCCAAGACACAAAAGAAGCAAAGTCATGAGCCATGCAGATGTTTAAAGGAAGAACATTAAGGAGTATGCAGAGTTGACATGTGAGTGAATGAATGGTTAGAGAGAAGTTTGGAAGATCACTGCAGGCCAGTTCATAAGTTACCATATAAGCTACAGTAAGTATTTATAGACAAGGAAACCGAGCAGGGCTTCTCAAATTAAGGGTGCCCATGGATCACCTGGGGAACTTGTTAAACTGTAATATGGAGTCACTAAGTCTGGGGTGGGACGTGAGTTTCTGCATTTCCAACAAACTCCCAAGAGATGTTGATGCTACTGCTCTGTAGGCCACAGAGTAAACAAAGGGATGCAGGGGCTGAGAACTTATTAAACAGCACGCTCAATGTCACACAGCTGGTAAGTCACAGAGGTAAGATTTGAATCACAGATGCCTGATCCTAAAGTTTGTGCTGTCCATTAGTTGCCTCTGAGATAACCTCATGCCTGATTCACCTGTAACCGGTACTGTGCAGGATATTTAAAGAGCCTGGCTGAGAAAAGTCCTGGCATGTGCTCTGTTTATAGAAGAGCCATTTATCCCCTCTTATTTAGAAGGAGAAATAACAAGGGAAATTGGATGCTTTGGTAACTATTGATACTTTGTGCCATTGCTTATGCAATGTTTAAAAAATATAAGATATAATCAATCCCTGACATCTTAGACAGAAATGATATTGTTGGTGACCATCTTGGTGTACAATATATAAATAAGCATAAAATACTCATGAGTCTTGAAATCTAATGCATTATATTTGTAGTACCTGATCCAAGGAAGGCAGTTATTCACCAGGCCCTGCAGTCATACCCCTGCCCTTACCCATTTGCACCCTTGCGTTTAGTTCTTTTCACCACATAGAAGATGCTTGGAGTTCCCAGATGTGGGTGGGCTCTGGGGTGTCAGAGATACATGCAGTGGTTTACTTGCCCAAATCAATGAGGCTTCAATACAAAACAAAACAAAGGGTAGGGGTGTGTGTGGAGTTTGAACACTTGGTCTCAACTTTCTTTCATGAAAGCAGCCATAGCTCCCGATATTAAACAGATGTTTGCAGGAAAGGATGGCTCCTCGATTTCTCTTGTTTGATAGTCACTGGGGGTGGAGGGGATGGAAGGGGGACATGTTCTGTGTATGTATTGTATATGCTCTTGCCTTGATGAATGACATAGTTTGGTTTGGTTTGTTGCCCTCCCCTTTTGTTAATTCTCTGTGTTCTTTTTCCTTTGTGCTGCACAATTAGGACCCTGCAGTGGGACACAGACCCCTCAGTGCTCCAGCTGCAGTCAGACTCAGAACTTGGGTATATGTCTGCTCTTTTGTTACTCCTTTTATTATTTCTTTGCTACAGTTGTGTTGAAATGCTGGAGCTGTTGTTGCTCTTGTGTTCTCCCCTTTTGTTGAACTTCCAGTTTGATAAGTTCGTTTCCTTCTGTTGATTTTCCTTATAAAGCTTTGAAGAAAGTCTCTCTTTGTGGAAAACACCACAAAAAGATGGCTTTTGATTTCTCCTTATTAATTCCTATTATTGCAAAACAACACTCCCCCAAACAAAAATCAAACATAAACCCACACATCTAATTAAAAGTGGGGCACACAAGTTCTGCAGCGGGAGATATGTTTGGCTTTATCATCACCATCCTCCCCTTTACTAACAAGTTGCCTTAAGTTAACTTTGGTCTAAGATCAGTATGAAAATATTGGGTCTTGTTTCTTTACTTTTCTTTTCAGTTTTTGGGGAACTCACAATAAGCACTTAATTTGAATTAAGTTTGAACAGTTAAAGATTCCTGTTTAAAAAAAACCAAGGAAATTAATTGAATACCTTGATCTAAAGATATTTCAAATACTAGATGTTGAGTAATGTCTCCTATGTCCTAAATATCATCTTTTTCAGATGTAAATGTATTATCACAAGTTAAAAGAAAACCTCAGAGATGAAGACTTGGAGTGGAATAAAACACACAGACATATCCTAGAAACTCAATTTATTTCCGTTGTAGGATTGGAGTTAGCTGTAGTCACACAGGAGATATTACTGGTGGGGTGTTTGTATCAGCTGGTCATCAAGCTCAGGAGAGCTGATTGCGCATTTCTCTTCTCAACTTCACATTAAGTTAAATCAGCTGGAAATCAGCCACGGTGGAAGTATTTACACCACAGAAATTGCCTCCTTTCCTACAAGCAATTTATTAAGCATTTACCGACAGAGCACTGGATATCTCTAAGTGAACAGCAAGTTTCATAACCACATTTTATGGAACCATTATCTTTTCTTTCTAAATATAAACCAACATATCCCAAACCAGGCATTTATTTACTTATTATTCATTTTGAATTCCTGAGATTCCTGGGCATATATCTCTGAGGTTCTGTCAGTTTCAATGCCTACTGTAGGTATAAAAGGAGGTTGAAGGGCTATTTGCATGTTAGGTTAAATGCCATCTGCCTGTGACCCTTTGCATATGCAAAAATTCTTAGCTGATTCATGACAATACTAAGCCAAGGAAATATCCTAACATTTAGGTAACCGATGCACTATTTCTTTTTTAACCTTACTAAATTCTTGGCTATTTAGTTATATAGTTCATTTATGTTATATTTCAATTTGTATTATTTAAATAACCAAGAGATATGGCTTAAATAAAGCAGAGAATGTATGGTAAGTTATAGTTCAGGGGAACTTCAGAATGCAGTTCTTCAAAATTATATTGTGTTAAAAAAACAGGCAGGGGAAAGAACTGGCAGAGACTACCCCATGCACTTAAATTAACAGATTTTTAGACAGATTGCAGCAGTGCTAAATTACACTTGCTGATGTGGAATAGTTTGGAATTTTCCCATTTATATCTGTTTTCCAAGCAAAAACTCATGTTGACTATGCAGATTAAAATTTGTGACTTATTCTAGGGATATAGCATATCTGTGGACCCACCTTACCTGCTGCATTATACTTGAGAGTGAACCCAGTGTGTTGGAGAGAGAAGATGGAGACTTTCTGTTCACTTTCTAAATACAAACCGATATACCCCAAACTAGGCATTTATTTATTTATTATTCATTTTGAATTCCTGAGATTCCTGGGCATACATCTCTGAGGTTCTATCAATTTCAATGCCCACTGTAGGTATAAAAGGAGGTTGAAGGACTATTTGCATTTTAGGTTAAATGCCATCTGCCTGTGAGTGAGTGGCTTATCTTAGAGAGTTTGAAGGCATTTTCAGAGAATTTTTGAGAGATGACATTATTTTAGCCATTTTACAATTTCAAATATTGCCTTAATGAAAATTTCTAGATTTTTCTAGAGAGTTTTATTTCACCTTCTTGAGCTGTGGCATGGGAATGATCATAGTCCATAGCTTCCTTTGTCACTTAATTTAACACCTTTACTGAAGTATAACTGGCTTTAAATAAACTACACATATTAAAACTATTCAAATTGATGATTTTTGACATGTATGCACATCCATGAAATTATTACCACAATCAAGATAGTGAACACATTAATCATCCCCAGAGTTTCCTCATGCCCCTTTGTTATCTACACTCTTGCTTCTTCCTGTTCTTCCCTATCCCCCAAACATCTGATCTGCTTTCTATCACTATACCTTAGTTTGCCTTTCCTAGATTGTCATATAAATGAAATCATCCAGGAGGTACTCCTTTGACTGACTTCCTTCATTCAGAAGGATTATTTTGAGATTCATTCAGGTTAAGTTTATATAAACAGCTCTATCCTTTTTATTTCATTGTATGGATATACCACAGTTTGTTTATCCAGTCACTTTTTATATACATTGGGTTGTTTACAATTTTTGCCCATTACAAATAGAACTGCTATAAACATTCATGTACAAATATTTTAATGCACATATGCTTTCATTTCTTTTGGGCAAATACCTCCCAGTAGAGGTATTTATGGTTGAATCATATAGTAGATACACATTTAACTTTTTAAGAAATTGTCAAACTGTTTTCAAAATGGTTTTACCATTATGCATTCCCACGAGCAGTTTATGAGAGCCTCGATTTTTCCACATTCTTGACAACGCTTAGTTTGAGCTTCTTAAAAGAAATTATTAATTTGTTAACTATTATTAAAGAAGTATAGTGGTATTTCATTGTGGTTTTAATTTGCATTTCCCTAATGACTAATAATGTTGAATATCTCTTTAGTTGCTTATTTGCCATATGAGTATCCTCTCTGATGAAATGTCTGCTTAAATCTGTTAGTCTTATATATTGTTTTTGAGTTGGGTTATTTTCTCATAATTGATTTTGAAAGTTCTTCGTATGTTCTGGATAAAATGCTTTATGGGGTATATAATTTATTAATATTTTCTCTCAGTCTATGACCTGTCATTTTCATTTTCTTAACAGTGTCTTTAAGAAAGCAAACCATTTTAATTTTGACTAATTACAGTTTACAAATTTGTTCTTTTATGGATCATGCTTTTGTTAACATAATGTTGATTTTTAAGCAATTATTTTAATATTTGGTAGAACACAATTCACCTATGAAATCATTTGGGTTTGGAATAATATTGTGGAGGAGATTTTTTGCTTTGTTTTATTTTGAGACAGAGTCTCACTCTGTCACCTAGGCTGGAGTGCAGTGGTGTGATCTTGGCTCACTGCAACCTCTGCCTCCCAGGCCAGAGACAGATATCTCTTTGAGATACTAATTTTATTTCCTTTAGATATATATGTCCAGAAAAGGGACTGTTAGATAATATGTAGCTCTAGTTTTAATAATTTGAGGAACTTCAATATTATTTTCCATAATGGCAATGCCAATTTACAATCTTACCAACAGTGTACTAGGTTGTTTCCTCAATATCCCTTCCAATACTTCTTATTTTTTATTTTTAATAATAGTGATCCTGATTGCATCTCATTATAGTTTTGATTTGCATGTCTCTGATAATTAGTGATGTTGAACACTTTTTCATATACATATTGGTCATCTTATGTCTTCTTTGGAGATAAGTCTATTTAGGGCCTCTGTGCATTTTTAAATCAGGTAATTTGTAATTTTGCTATTGAGTTGTTTCAGTTCTTTATATATTTTGGATATTAACCCCTTATCAGTAATATGGATTAAAATATTATCTCCCATTCTATACATTGCCTTATCATTGTATTGGTTGTTTTCTTTTTTTTTATTATTATACTTTAAGTTTTAGCATACATGTGCACATTGTGCAGGTTAGTTACATATGTATACATGTGCCATGCTGGTGCGCTGCACCCACTAACTCGTCATATAGCATTAGGTATATCTCCCAATGCTATCCCTCCCCCCTCCCCCCACCCCACAACAGTCCCCAGAGTGTGATGTTCCCCTTCCTGTGTCCATGTGTTCTCATTGTTCAATTCCCACCTATGAGTGAGAATATGTGGTGTTCGGTTTTTTGTTCTTGTGATAGTTTACTGAGAATGATGATTTCCAATTTCATCCATGTCCCTACAAAGGACATGAACTCATCATTTTTTATGGCTGCATAGTATTCCATGGTGTATATGTGCCACATTTTCTTAATCCAGTCTAACATTGTTGAACATTTGGGTTGGTTCCAAGTCTTTGCTATTGTGAATAGTGCCGCAATAAACATACGTGTGCATGTGTCTTTATAGCAGCATGATTTATAGTCCTTTGGATATATACCCAGTAATGGGATGGCTGGGTCAAATGGTATTTCTAGTTCTAGATCCCTGAGGAATTGCCACACTGACTTCCACAATGGTTGAACTAGTTTACAGTCCCACCAACAGTGTAAAAGTATTCCTATTTCTCCACATCCTCTCCAGCACCTGTTATTTCCTGACTTTTTAATGATTGCCATTCTAACTGGTGTGAGATGGTATCTCATTGTGGTTTTGATTTGCATTTCTCTGATGGCCAGTGATGATGAGCATTTTTTCATGTGTTTTTTGGCTGCATAAATGTCTTCTTTTGAGAAGTGTCTGTTCATGTCCTTTGCCCACTTTTTGATGGGATTGTTTGTTTTTTTCTTGTACATTTGTTTGAGTTTATCGTAGATTCTGGATATTAGCCCTTTGTCAGATGAGTGGGTCGTGAAAATTTTCTCCCATTTTGTAGGTTGCCTGTTCACTGTGATGGTAGTTTATTTTGCTGTGCAGAAGCTCTTTAGTTTAATTAGATCCCATTTGTCAATTTTGGCTTTTGTTGCCATTGCTTTTGGTGTTTTAGACATGAAGTCCTAGCCCATGCCTATGTCCTGAATGGTATTGCCTAGGTTTTCTTCTAGGGTTTTTATGGTTTTAGGTCTAATGTTTAAGTCTTTAATCCATCTTGAATTGATTTTTGTATAAGGTGTAAGGAAGGGATCCAGTTTCAGCTTTCTACATATGGCTAGCCAGTTTTCCCAGCACCATTTATTAAATAGGGAATCCTTTCCCCATTGCTTGTTTTTCTCAGGTTTGTCAAAGATCAGATAGTTGTAGATATGCGGCATTATTTCTGAGGGCTCTGTTCTGTTCCATTGATCTATATCTCTGTTTTGGTGCCAGTACCATGCTGTTTTGGTTACTGTAGCCTTGTAGTATAGTTTGAAGTCAGGTAGTGTGATGCCTCCAGCTTTGTTCTTTTGGCTTAGGATTGACTTGGTGATGGGGGCTCTTTTTTGGTTCCATATGAACTTTAAAGTAGTTTTTTCCAATTCTGTGAAGAAAGTCATTGGTAGCTTGATGGGGATGGCATTGAATCTGTAAATTACCTTGGGCAGTATGGCCATTTTCACGATATTGATTCTTCCTACCCATGAGCATGGAATGTTCTTCCATTTGTTTGTATCCTCTTTTATTTCATTGAGCAGTGGTTTGTAGTTCTCCTTGAAGAGGTCCCTCACGTCCCTTGTAAGTTGGATTCCTAGGTATTTTATTCTCTTTGAAGCAATTGTGAATGGGAGTTCACTCATGATTTGGCTCTCTGTTTGTCTGTTGTTGGTGTATAAGAATGCTTGTGATTTTTGTACATTGATTTTGTATCCTGAGACTTTGCTGAAGTTGCTTCTCAGCTTAAGGAGATTTTGGGCTGAGACAATGGGGTTTTCTAGATATACAATCATGTTGTCTGCAAAGAGGGACAATTTGACTTCCTCTTTTCCTAATTGAATACCCTTTATTTCCTTGTCCTGCCTAATTGCCCTGGCCAGAACTTCCAACACTATGTTGAATAGGAGTGGTGAGAGAGGGCATCCCTGTCTTGTGCCAGTTTTCAAAGGGAATGCTTCCAGTTTTTGCCCATTCAGTATGATATTGGCTGTGGGTTTGTCATAGATAGCTCTTATTATTTTGAAATACGTCCCATCAATACCTAATTTATTGAGAGTTTTTAGCATGAAGGGTTGTTGAATTTTGTCAAAGGCCTTTTCTGCATCTATTGAGATAATCATGTGGTTTTTGTCTTTGGCTCTGTTTATATGCTGGATTACATTTATTGATTTGCATATATTGAACCAGCCTTGCATCCCAGGGATGAAGCCCACTTGATCATGGTGGATAAGCTTTTTGATGTGCTGCTGGATTCGTTTTGCCAGTATTTTATTGAGGATTTTTGCATCAATGTTCATCAAGGATATTGGTCTAAAATTCTCTTTTTTGTTTGTGTCTCTGCCCGGCTTTGGTATCAGAATGATGCTGGCCTCATAAAATGAGTTAGGGAGGATTCCCTCTTTTTCTATTGATTGGAATAGTTTCAGAAGGAATGGTACCAGTTCCTCCTTGTACCTCTGGTAGAATTGGGCTGTGAATCCATCTGGTCCTGGACTCTTTTTGGTTGGTAAGCTATTGATTATTGCCACAATTTCAGATCCTGTTATTGGTCTATTCAGAGATTCAACTTCTTCCTGGTTTAGTCTTGGGAGAGTGTATGTGTCGAGGAATTTATCCATTTCTTCTAGATTTTCTAGTTTATTTGCGTAGAGGTGTTTGTAGTATTCTCTGATGGTAGTTTGTATTTCTGTGGGATCGGTGGTGATATCCCCTTTATCATTTTTTATTGTGTCTATTTGATTCTTCTCTCTTTTTTTCTTTATTAGTCTTGCTAGCAGTCTATGTATTTTGTTGATCCTTTCAAAAAGCCAGCTCCTGGATTCATTAATTTTTTGAAGGGTTTTTTGTGTCTCTATTTCCTTCAGTTCTGCTCTGATTTTAGTTATTTCTTGCCTTCTGCTAGCTTTTGAATGTGTTTGCTCTTGCTTTTCTAGTTCTTTTAATTGTGATGTTAGGGTGTCAATTTTGGATCTTTCCTGCTTTCTCTTGTGGGCATTTAGTGCTATAAATTTCCCTCTACACACTGCTTTGAATGCGTCCCAGACATTCTGGTATGTTGTGTCTTTGTTCTCGTTGGTTTCAAAGAACATCTTTATTTCTGCCTTCATTTCGTTATGTACCCAGTAGTCATTCAGGAGCAGGTTGTTCAGTTTCCATGTAGTTGAGCGGTTTTGAGTGAGATTCTTAATCCTGAGTTCTAGTTTGATTGCACTGTGGTCTGAGAGATAGTTTGTTATAATTTCTGTTCTTTTACATTTGCTGAGGAGAGCTTTACTTCCAAGTATGTGGTCAATTTTGGAATAGGTGTGGTGTGGTGCTGAAAGAAATGTATATGCTGTTGATTTGAGGTGGAGAGTTCTGTAGATGTCTATTAGGTCTGCTTGGTGCAGAGCTGAGTTCAATTCCTGGGTACCCTTGTTGACTTTCTGTCTCATTGATCTGTCTAATGTTGACAGTGGGGTGTTAAAGTCTCCCATTATTAATGTGTGGGAGTCTAAGTCTCTTTGTAGGTCACTCAGGACTTTCTTTATGAATCTGGGTGCTCCTGTATTGGGTGCATATATGTTTAGGATAGTTAGCTCTTCTTGTTGAATTGATCCCTTTACCATTATGTAATGGCCTTCTTTGTCTCTTTTGATCTTTGTTGGTTTAAAGTCTGTTTTATCAGAGACTAGGATTGCAACCCCTGCCTTTTTTTGTTTTCCATTTGCTTGGTAGATCTTCCTCCATCCTTTTATTTTGAGCCTATGTGTGTCTCTGCATGTGAGATGGGCTTCCTGAATACAGCACACTGATGGGTCTTGACTCTTTATCCAATTTGCCAGTCTGTATCTTTTAATTGGAGCATTTAGTCCATTTACATTTAAAGTTAATATTCTTATGTGTGAATTTGATCCTGTCATGATGATGTTAGCTGGTTGTTTTGCTCGTTAGTTGATGCAGTTTCTTCCTAGTCTTGATGGTCTTTACATTTTGGCATGATTTTGCAGTGGCTGGTACCAATTGTTCCTTTCCATGTTTAGCGCTTCCTTCAGGAGCTCTTTTAGGGCAGGCCTGGTGGTGACAAAATCTCTCAGCATTTGCTTGTCTGTAAAGTATTTTATTTCTCCTTCACTTATGAAGCTTAGTTTGGCTGGATATGAAATTCTGGGTTGAAAATTCTTTAAGAATGTTGAATATTGGCCCCCACTCTCTTCTGTCTTGTAGGGTTTCTGCCGAGAGATCCGCTGTTAGTCTGATGGGCTTCCCTTTGAGGGTAACCCGACCTTTCTCTCTGGCTGCCCTTAACATTTTTTCCTTCATTTCAACTTTGGTGAATCTGACAATTATGTGTCTTGGAGTTGCTCTTCTCGAGGAGTATCTTTGTGGCGTTCTTTGTATTTCCTGAATCTGAACGTTGGCCTGCCTTGCTAGATTGGGGAAGTTCTCCTGGATAATATCCTGCACAGTGTTTTCCAACTTGGTTCCATTCTCCCCGTCACCTTCAGGTACACCAGTCAGACGTAGATTTGGTCTTTTCACATAGTCCCATATTTCTTGGAGGCTTTGCTCATTTCTTTTTATTCTTTTTTCTCTAATCTTCCCTTCTTGCTTCATTTCATTCATTTCATCTTCCATTGCTGATACCCTTTCTTCCAGTTGATTGCATTGGCTCCTGAGGCTTCTGCATTCTTCACGTAGTTCTTGAGTCTTGGTTTTCAGCTCCATCAGCTCCTTTCAGCACTTCTCTGTATTGGTTATTCTAGTTATACATTCTTCTAAATTTTTTTCAAAGTTTTCAACTTCTTTGCCTTTGGTTTGAATGTCCTCCCGTAGCTCAGAGTAATTTGATCGTCTGAAGCCTTCTTCTCTCAGCTCGTCAAGGTCGTTCTCCGTCCAGCTTTGTTCCGTTGCTGGTGAGGAACTGCATTCCTTTGGAGGAGGAGAGGCGCTCTGCTTTTTAGAGTTTCCAGTTTTTCTGTTCTGTTTTTTCCCCATCTTTGTGGTTTTATCTACTTTTGGTCTTTGATGATGGTGATGTACAGATGGGTTTTTGGTGTGGATGTCCTTTCTGTTTGTTAGTTTTCCTTCTAACAGACAGGACCCTCAGCTGCAGGTCTGTTGGAGTACCCTGCCATGTGAGGTGTCAGTGTGCCCCTGCTGGGGGGTGCCTCCCAGTTAGGCTGCTCGGGGGTCAGGGGTCAGGGACCCACTTGAGGAGGCAGTCTGCCCGTTCTCAGATCTCCAGCTGCGTACTGGAAGAACCACTGCTCTCTTCAAAGCTGTCAGACAGGGACATTTAAGTCTGCAGAGGTTACTGCTGTCTTTTTGTTTGTCTGTGCCCTGCCCCCAGAGGTGGAGCCTACAGAGGCAGGCAGGCCTCCTTGAGCTGTGGTGGGCTCCACCCAGTTCGAGCTTCCCGGCTGCTTTGTTTACCTAAGCAAGCCTGGGCAATGGCGGGCGCCCCTCCCCCAGCCTCGCTGCCACCTTGCAGTTTGATCTCAGACTGCTGTGCTAGCAATCAGCCAGACTCCGTGGGCGTAGGACCCTCCGACCCAGGTGCGTTATATAATCTCGTGGTGCCCCCTTTTTTAAGCCTGTCGGAAAAGCGCAGTATTCGGGTGGGAGTGACTCGATTTTCCAGGTGCCGTCCGTCACCCCTTTCTTTGACTAGGAAAGGGAACTCCCTGACCCCTTGTGCTTCCCCAGTGAGGCAATGCCTCACCCTGCTTCGGCTCGCGCATGGTGCGCGCACCCACTGACCTGCGTCCACTGTCTGGCACTCCCTAGTGAGATGAACCCGGTACCTCAGATGGAAATGCAGAAATCACCCGTCTTCTGCGTCGCTCACGCTGGGAACTGTAGACCAGAGCTGTTCCTATTCGGCCATCTTGGCTCCTCCTGGTCCTGGTTGTTTTCTTATTGTGCAGAAGCTTTTTAGCTTGCTGTAGTCCCGCTTGTCTACTTTTGCCTTTGTTGCCTGTGCTTTTGGTGTCATATCTAAAAAATCATTGCCAAGGCCAATGTCGAAAATCTCATTTCTTACATTTTCTTTTAGGAGTTGTATAGTTGCAGGTCTTACATTTATATCTTTTATCCATTTTGAGTTTTTTTTGTGTGTACATGTATGTGTGTGATATAAAGATCCAATTTCATTCTTTCAAATATGGATATTTAGTATTCCCAACACCGTGAATTGAAGAGACTATCATTTTTCCATTTTGTATTCTTGTCTGTATTATGGAAAATTAGTTGACTGTAGATGTGTGAGTTAATTTCTGGAATCTCCATTCTGTCCCACTGACCTATATGCCTGTTTTTGTTACAGTTCCATACTGTTTTGATTAATATAGTTTTGTAGTATAATTTGAAATCAAGCAGTGTGATACCTCTTGAGAATACCTTTCTAAAGATTGCTTTGGTTATTCAAGGTCTTTTGGGGTTCCATATGAATTTTAAGATTTTTTTCCTATTTCTATGAAAAATATCATTTAAGTTTTGGTAGAGATTTTATTGAATCTGTAGACTGCTCTAGGCAGTATGGACATTTTAATAATATTGTTTTGTGTAATCCATGAACATACAATGTCTTTTCATTTCTTTGTCTTCAATTTTTTTTCATAAATGCTTCATAGTTCTTTTATGTAGAGATTTTTCACCTTGGTTAAATCTAAGTTTTTTTCTTTCTGATGCTATTATTAGTGGAAATGCTTTCTTGATTTCTTTTTCAGATAGTTCATTGTTGGTGTAGAGAAACACTTAATTTTTGCATTAATTTTTGTGGAGTCTATAAAGTTTCCTACGTACAAGGTCATGTCATCTACAAAAAGAGACATTTTACTTCTGTCTTATTTGGATGACATGTATTTCTTTTTCTGTCTAATTTATCTGGCTAAGACTTCCAGTATTAGGTTGAATAGTAGCTTTGGTTTCCTTTCTCTTTTTCTTTTTATTTTTTGAGACAGAGTCTTGCTCTATCACCCAGGCTGGAGTGCAGTGGTGCGATCTTGGCTCACTGCAACCTCCGCCTCCCAGGTTCAAGCAATTCTCCTGCCTCAGCCTCCCAAGTAGCTGGGACTATAGGCATGCGCCACCATGCCTGGCTAATTTTTGTATTTTTAGTAGAGATGCAGTTTCACCATGTTGGCCGGGCTAGTCTCAAACTCCTGACCTCGGGTGATCCACCCACCTCAGCCTCCTAAAGTGCTGGGATTACAGATGTGAGCCACTGCACCCAGCCTCCTTTCTCTTTTTCTTCTATGTAACTTCTATAAGTATTTTCTTTGTGGTTATTATGGGACTTACATAAAATTTATTATAGTGAGCTGATAGCATTTTCTCTTGCATACGAAAACTCTACATTTTTATCTCATTTCCCCCCACATTATGTGCAATTGGTGTTGCAGTTCATATCTGTTTAGAATGTGTGTCCATTTACATAATTTAGTTATAGTCATTTTTAATTCATTTGTCTTTTTACTTTTATATTTGAACCAAAAGCTGTTTACCCACCACCTTTATAACAATGTAGTCTTCTGTTTTTGTCTATATATTTACCTTTAACAACAGATTTTATACTTTCTTATGTTTTTGTGTTGCTGTTTAGAATCCTTTCATTTCAAGTTGAAGAACTTTCTTTAGCATTTTTTTGTATGTCAGAACTAGTGATGGTAACCTCTCTTAGCTTTTGTTTGTCTGAGAAAGGCTTTATTGCCCCCTTCATTTCTGAAGGACAGGTTTGCCTGGTATTGTATTCTTGATTGGCAGGTTTTTTTTTTCTTCTTTCAGCACTTTGAATATATCACACACTCCCTTCTGGCCTGCATGATTTCTATTGAAAAATCGGCTTATAGTCTTATGAGGGTTCTCAGGTAGATAGCAAGTAGCCATTTTCTTGTTTTCAAAATCCTCTCTTTGCTTTTAACTTTTGACAATTTATTTATAATATGTCCTTGGTTTGGGCATCTTTGGGATTATCTTATATGGTGTTCTTGGTGTTCTTTGGGCTTCCTGAATCTGGAT